>NC_000001.11:55765956-55917471 GCF_000001405.40 Homo sapiens
GATGGGTACAGCAAACCACCATGGCACGTGTATACCTATGTAACAAACCTGCGTGTTTTACACATGTACCCCAGAACTTAAAGTATAATAAAAAAAAGAAATATTGCTAAAGACAAAAAAGGTAATTTTATAGTGATAAAAATGCCAATAAGGAACTCCAAAATACATTTTAAAACTGATTGGATTGAAAGGAGAAATAGACAATTGAAATATTGTAGTTCAATATTATATTAGTTGTGGTTCTTCAGAAAAATAGAACCATTAGTATATATATCAAGCATATATATACATATATACACAAGTGCACATTTATATACACATACACAGATATATACACATAGATATGTATATATACCTATTTATTATAAGAAATTGGCTTTTGTGGTTATGGAGGCTGAGAAGTTCCAAATTCTGCAGTTGGCAAGCTGGAGACCTAGGAAACCCAATGGGGTAAGTTCCTATCTGGGCAGGAATAATGTTTCAGCACAACAGCTAAGTGGGCAAAACTTCCTCTTATTCAGCCTTTTGGTTCCACTCAGATCTTCGATTGGACAAGGCCCACCCACATTGGGGAAGGCGATCTGTTTTACTCAGTCTATCAATTCAAAAGTTAATCTCACTCAGAATTGCCCACAAAGACACATCCAGAACAATATTTGACCAAACGTCTGGGCACCCCATGGCCCAGCTGAGTTAAGACATAAAATTAATCACTACAGAGCTTTCAGCAATCCCCTCTAAGTAACTGATATATATCTTTACTGATTTTCTGTCTAGCTGTTATAAGACTTGAGCAAAATTATCAAACAATTTGACCTGACATTTCCTTCTATTAGCTGCCAGATATGTTCCATATAAAGGAGTCAGACTGGCCTAAACACAAAGTGGTGGTAACAGGGCTACCAGGTAGGTTAGCCTATCAGTAACTTAAAGCACAGCCAGACGCAGTGATGGGAACAGTAGGAATGAGAGCTAGGCATAAGCCCAGGTAAGTGGCTCATGCTTATTTTAGTGATCAGGGCCATATCTTGTGCACCAGCTCTAAATGGCATCAGAAGCTCGGCTGACTTCAGTACCTCAGTCTGAAGACCAACTTCAATTACTTTCAGTAGATATTATCATAGTAATCTGGTATTCACTCCCCTCCTTATAAAGGATTATACATATCCACTTCCTTGTAAAGGATTATACAGATCTACCTGTTACTATAAATTTGCAGTACTTCCCTATGGGAGAACTATTCCCAGCAACACAGATGTGGTGCTTGGACATGTGATTTGGTTTAGCCAATAGAATGTGAGAGAAAGTAACATAATTATGTCCATGCAGAAACTGTGAGAGCTGTTCTGTGCTTCAACATTTGTTCATTTATCTCTGCCACAAGAATGGCATGTCCTAGATAGGGTCTGTGTCTTCAGCCTGAATCCCAGAATAAAAAAGACCCAGGAAACATTCCTGCAGCTGACCCATAACCTGGAACGAAGCCACAGCCTATTTGAAGTCAGCATGTAATGTGAGGGAAAAATAAGTTTCGTTACCACTGAGATGTTATGGAATAACCTAATGATAGCACTGATAAACCTTGACACTGAACACCCCAATTGACGCCACTACTCTAGTATGGTAGACATTCATTGGAGTATCTTCCCAGCCACTTTTCTTTTGCAGAAAAGGGTCCTGATCCATAGATTAGGGTCATGAGAGCCATATTGACATGTTATCTCTGTAGCACCCTTTGGCTGTAAGCTGGTTAAAATAGGTGACATTCTTTCCTTTGAGAATTTTACCCAAGGCCTGGAGCCTGGAAATTGGGAGTCAATTAACATACATTGAAATGCTTCCAAAAAGGTCTATAAACTACTGTGTGCCCCTAGAGAAATCCCTATTCTTATCCCATTTTGTTGTTTTATTAACTTCTTTTGGATTCCATGTGATATTCCAGCATTCTTTCCTGCAAAAGCTTTTAAACCCAAATCAGTGCTAGTTGGTTTCTATTTATTTGCAACCAAAAGAACCTTAACTAATACATCAAGCACCTAAAACTACCTTGATATTACTCAAATTCATTCTTCAAATGTTGGCATAGCAAAAGCCAAGCCTTGCCAGGGCTGCTCCTACAGTGGCAGGGGACGTGGAAAGAGCCCTGGGCTAAGGGAGTTGGCCAGTCTTTAAGTCTGGCCAGGAACAAAGCAGAGTGTGGACTTCCTAAATTCCATCCCTGCATTACAATCTCTACATGACATATTCTTTTTTTCTTCATTACCTTCCTAAATAGGGTCCAGGTTTCCAGCAGACTTGGGGGTCCCCTCCCTGGACCACTGGAACAATGGATGGGGCAGAGCATGTATGATACAGAGCTCTTTTGCTGTGTGAATGGGTGGTCTCTGGCAGGGTTGTTTTTGGCCAAGTAGGTGCTGCGTATTTCCAGTTACAGTTGCATATTGTTGCCTGCAACTTCTTGGCAGTATTTCAACCAAATGCATTAAAATATAATTGCCTTTATTAAGAAAAAGAACAGACATGCATTAACACAGTTTTGAAAAATTAGGGGCAGCTAACTAATAAAATAAGTTTGTAAGAACAAGGCATGGAACTGCTTTTATTGGCATTTCCAGATTTTTTTTTTTTACTTCTGGGCATCTGAAGAGAATGTCTATCCAGTTACCAAATATTATCTGGGGTGCCTGCCAGATTTCTGGACATAAAGCTTTAAAATTTTAAAAGGTGATAGGACAATTAGAGAGGGTGTTTCTCCTTCCCATGTGGTTCTAAGCCAAGCTGTCCTGATTACTCTCCTGAGCTTTAGATTCATGTATCTAAATATCTGCTTAATAGTTCCAATCTGGAGGTCTGTCCCCACCAGGCCTAAGCTCAGTTTGGTGCAAGCAAATTTATCACTCACTCCTCAACTCTGATATCTTTTTTTCCTTCTATATACTCAATTCATGTTGTTACCACTATACACCCATACAAGCCAATTAGAAATCTCTTCACTATTCGACTCTACTCTTTATGATATTCCACAGAAGTCACTGCCTTCTATTGATTTGACTTTTAAAATAGTTTGAGTTTGCTTTTTCACTGCCTTAATAGAAATAAACAATGCTGATCATTAGAATAGCTTTTCAATCAGCCTCTTGATTAAATACTCATTGTAATGCCTCCTATCCCATCAGTTATTCAGATTGCTACCAAAGTGATCCCCCTAAAGTGTAAGTTGGGGGATGACACTTGTTACAAGTTTTTGAATTTGATGCTTGCTATAGACTAAATGTTTGTGTCCAAACCCAAGTTCATATGCTGAAGTTTTAACACTCAATGTGATGGTATTAACAGGTGGGTGGTAGCTTTGGTAGGTGCTTAGATTATGAGGGTGAAGCCCTCATGAGTGAGATTAGTGCCCTTTAAAAAAAGATTCCAGAGAGATCCCTTGCTGCTTTCCTTACATGGAGACAGCAGGAAGAAGGTTGTCTATGAACTAGGAAGCAAGAGGCTTTGTCGGATATTAATCTGACAGCACTTTGATTGTGGACGTAGCCTCTAGAACTGTAAGAAATAAGTTTCTTTTGTTTAAAAGCCACCTAGTCTATGGCATTCTGCTATAGCAGCCCAAATGTACTAAGACAATGCTGTAGGCAATATGAAAACATTGAAATATTTAGAAGGGCATTTAAGACCCCCCAATTATTAAGCTTATCTATTTTTCAAACACTATTTTGTGAAATGACAAAAAAAAACCTCCGTTAAAGCAATGAAAATGCCAAAGTTCTGAGAACTATGCTCTTCTCATGTCACATATTTATCATGTGCCCAAGTAACTAAAGAGAAAAAAGAGTTATGTTCTTCCCTTGAATATGAGCCTTTCTTTATCAGCTCTCATTTTCTGTCCCGGAAGGAGCCACAGTATTGGAAAGTTAGACTATTGTATAGCAATGAGTACGCAGTTGAAGCCCAATGACTGGTCAGAACACAATCTTTACGGGTGGAGGAACAGGGCAAAAAGGTACAGGAATTTTTTCCCGAAAAGAATGAAAACTTCCTGTTGTCAAACACCACCATTTTCTGTGCTGTCTTAAGCCAGCTTATGGGATATCTGCAGCACAGTGTCACTCAAGCCTCATTAGCTCCCATCCAGATCTTTCTTATGGGCTTTCTAACAGCATGAGGAGAACATCAGATGTTCATATCCCTCTTCTGGATCTCCCTTTTAAAATCCTGGGTGCAATTTCTCACACAACACCTTGCCTACCCGTTATTGCTGGTTCTCATGTGCATTGTTGAGATGTGTTCATAGAAAATAAACACTTCTCAGCCCAACACTTGCTTTTGGACACCAGCTGTATGACACACTCCCACTCTGCCTTTTTTTATCTACTGTTCCCTCAAACTCTAAACACCTGCCTCCATTATGGAAATCCCACAAGCCTCAGCTCACTGTCACCACAGCTGATGCCCTAGCTAGAATTTGTTGCTGCCTTCTCTGGCTTGCACTGCATTTGATATGATTGCCTAGTTAACATTACTTCATGTTGTCAAGTGTTAAAATTAGTTGAATATGCTTTTACCATCTCCAGTAGATTGAGCCTAGGAGTTGTGACTTTCCTATCTCTGCACCCCAGAAGACTGAGCACACTGATTACTGATTGAGTGGATAACAAAACCCCCACCCCTAGGTCTAGTTAGTGCAGGAGTCCTCTCTGTGCCATTTTCTTTGATTTGTGAGCTCCCTTGTGAATGGGAATTTAAACACCAGGGTCCTGGCTCCATTGAATCAAAGGAATTGAGTGGGAAGATATCATTTCTGGCATTTTAGAGTGGGCAGATTTGCCTGCCATCAGCAATACCTTTCTGAGAGAGGTAGTGTAATATATAACCTTCAGGGGCCACATAACTAAGTTTTGGGTGATTGTATTGTTCACAGAATGGGCCAGAGATTTTCCTCTTATTTTAGGTAGAGTGACACATGAGTTACTACCAAGGTGGGACATTTGAGTACGCTAAAATAATTAAACTTACAAACTTAAAAAAATTGATTAGCATCTGTTGTCAATCTAGAAATTATTGTATTCACAAATTATTTTTGGAAATAAAATTATTTCTTAAGAGTAATGTCTCTGATAACTGAAAATGTCTTTATATTGGCTATGTGAACATTAGAAAGTAATATAAATCATATGCACCCATATATTTTAATTCATTCACAGTATCCCCCTGATGGATTCATTTTTTCAGTATAGTCTTATTTTTTTCCATTCAATTGCCTGCACATTCTTCAAGTTGTTTTTTTTTTTTTTTTGCTTAATAAATTCAATTTGATTTTTGTTTAAGAGCAAAATATTTTTAATTGAGAAAACTCTACCAGTATGTGGTCAGCTCAGGAAATTCTGTTAAATGGGAATATTTATAATTTTTATTTTTATGTATTAAAATATGTATAGCCCCAATATTTTCATGGATATAATCATTTTTTTCCCATTTAGAAAAGCTTTGACAAATATTTTTATAACTCATCCAATAGACTCTTACGTCACCAAATTTAGATGTTTCAAAAGTATAAGTATTCTCAGTGTTGTATTCCAGTACAGAATACACATCTATCCAATTAGAAATAGTAGCTCCAGCAAAAGATCCTTTCCCCAAGTCAAGATATATCAAAGTGCAATTATAGAATTTCAAAGTTAAATGTTGCTGACTGTTTGAGTTCTCATTATCTAAGTTGTTTGGTTTCTCCCTTGCTTATATGGAGATACATTTCAATCTCTTTCTGTTTTTAAGCTTTGTTTTCTATTATTGCAATTCACTTAGGGTTTCAAAAGCTGGTTTTTTAATGCTTTTTCTTTGAATGATTAATGAAAAAATGCAATCACAATTTAAAGTGGTAATTTACAAATGACTCTGAAGTTGATTTACATAGCTCTTCCCAGGCTCAAACATTTCTAAAATCCAATTGATAATAGGACAGCAAAGAGCTCAGTCATGTTTTTATAAATATACAAATTATAGATATGAATTACTATAGATATGAATTATTATTCATTTCTGTATTTGTGAGAACCTGAAAGAGCCAATACCTTAAGATGAATCCTGAGTGGCTAACTGGGCCTGATTTTAAAATGGAACCAAGGGGCCATTTGCTGAATAGAGGTCACACCCATACTCTGAGGTCCCAGAAAACCCTCACGGCTGCTTAACTTTGGGAATTTCATGGCCGATTGTTCCTGTTCACATCACCTGAACCAACCAGTCAGAACTCCACTGCTTCTACCAATCAGACCTGAGCAAGTTTGAATCCTTACTTTGCATAAACAGAACTGATAGGAAACCTGGACAGGAACTATGTATAAAAGCCAAATCCTGCCTTTGTTCTCTTTTGTGTAAAGCCCTCATTTTTACAGGGAAGGAAGCATCTCCCCTGGTTTGCAAACTGTTCTGTCGAATGAAGTTTTGCTTCTGAATTCTTTCTCAGAAAAAAATTTGTTCATTTCATATTCAACATTGTCTTTGCTAATTTCTCTGAAAATATTGATACATTTTGATAACTACAGATTCTATTTCAATTGTAGAATATGACAATGAGAATACAAGTGTAAATTATGTGTGTACCAAAATCAATTTCAAATACATTTGCATATCACCATAGATTTCTCAATTTAGTAAAAATATTATTTGCTATAATGGAATATTCTACCAAAATTATTCTTATGACCACCACAAAAATACTTTTGTCTTCAATATTTAACTTTTTGTAAAAGTTTTGTAAAAGAATTAGATATTTCATTTTTGTCAGAGTGAACTAAAATTTTTACTTTGATTCTATACATTTGATTTTAAAATTGCCCATTGAGATTATTTATTTCTATTTGTAACATCACACTTATGTAACTATTTGCAAAATTTTGCTTTTGTTCATAGAGACACTATATTAATAGTTATTATTTCACCTTTATGCAAGTACAAGAAAACCTTGAGTTAAATAGGAACAAAATTATCTTAAAAAAAGAATCTGATAGAGCCAGTCCCTGAAGATGAATGAGAAGTCATGCTTCACAGAATGTTATAGAGAAGTACTTTCTACAGCTGTGCATGTGGACTTCAGGTAGAGGTTTTTAAATATTCTCTTGAAAGAACAATTAAGTTGTGAAATAAGTTATTATGATCTTTCTGCAGATTTGTGTATCCTGATGTTCATGAGTTCAGTAATATCACTATGGCCCCTATGGAAGACAAGAAATGTTGCAAAATGTTTTGTAAATGTTTCATGTTCAACTTTTTTGAGAAGTGGGAATTTAATACATAATTTTTCATTAAACATGCACTTTCATTCTTGATTGCTGCTGAAATGTTTATCACAAAATATGACAAGACCATTGTAGCATGTGTGTTTACACTGCTGGATATATAATCTACCTCAGGACTGCTCAGCTGGTTTTTTTCCTTTGCACATACTTTATTTACACTTAATCCATAATTTCACAAGCTTCCCGCTTACCCCACGGACTAGTAGCCTGGAAGATTTGTGCATCTGAAAGCCCAAGGCAAGGGCCACAGCACAACTTCAAATGGCTGATAGGGAAAGCGGAATGAATTTTCTGCCACCACTACCTGGGACCGAAAGGAGTTAGCTAACTCTATCCAATCATGTCTGAGTGTAGTTTATTTTATCAGTGAGTACCCAGCAAACTGTTGTTGAAGGAGAACATTTGATTTACCTTGCATCTGAAAAATGTCAGGAAAAAATTACTGTATGAGTTATTGTGATTCTTTCCTATTTCATCATGTGCTAAAGTGAGAACTTTTCCCATGCATACTTGGCAAGAGCATGGCAGAAGCTTGATGTACAAAGTGGTTTTCTGTCAGATCCATCTCAGGGCATTTTAATGTAACTACTAAGAACATTTTTTTAAAAATGAAAAGTCCAGGGGAAGTCCTAAAATAGATGGGATGCTAAGACAACCAAAATATACTAGAACTTTCTCAGGCAAATTAAGATATATAATACTTTTTACAGAACTATAAAGACCTAGATATTATACTTTTCTCTCAAATAAGAAGATTGTCTTCAAACATATTTGCTTTATTAAAATTATGCTGATAATTTCCCAAGTATCAGTCACTTAATCTCTATTCTTTTATTCCCAGTAAAAATCAAATCATAAATAAAATTTAAAGAATAATTTTAGCAAACTAATGATAGGAAGGAAACTCCTCAATCTGGTAAAAGGTATCTATGAAAAACACAGAGTTAATATCATACTTGGTGAACAAATATTGAATGTCTTTCCTAGAAGATCAGGAACTAGGCAAAGAGGTCACTCTCATTAGTTCTACTCAATATTTTACTGAAGCTCCTAGTCATTGCAATAAAGCATGAAAAAGAAATAGAAGTATAAATGCTAGTAAGGGAAAAGAAAACTATCTCTATTTGTAGTTGACATTAATGATGGTATAGAAAATCCAATTTCATGTTACCAGACAACTCTATTTGTGAGGCATGTGATACTTTGTTTCGAACATGGTTATTGACTCTTATGTGTATGGTATGGACTCTACTAGGACCTTACTAGGGAACCCCAGAGGAAGGAGTGAGATCACCACGATAGGATTAGTGTCCTTATAAGAGGAGGAGACCAGAGCTCACGTGTCTACCACATGAGGATACATTGAGAAGGCAGCTGCCTGCAAGCCAGGATGAGGGCCCTCCCCAGGAAATAAATCTGCCAGCACTTTGATCTTAGATTTCCCAACCTCTAGAACTATGAGAAATAATATCTGTTGTTTAAGTCACCCAGTCTAAGAGTTTGTTATACCCACCCAAGTGGACTAAGACAGTAGCTATTACAAACCAGATGAGAAAACAGATCACCCAGCAAATTGAGTAATAGCCAAAACTAGAACTTAGCTTGCTTGACCCCCAAACCTCAGGTTCAATATGCCAGGCTCCACCATCTTTTGCCCAGTGGTGTATCTGAAAGGGAGTTCTTTCTCTCACAGAAGGTGTGTGGAAAAGGACAAACCATCTCTATGGGTAGCCATTTTCTCCCTTCACAATGTGGAAAATTTAAACCCTTTAGATAGACAGCCTGCCTGCACACTCAGGAGACAAACAGATCCTGGCAAGCTCTTTGCTCCAAAATCACCCTTCTCCAGTTACACTCCCCCAGGTTCCTCGATTAGCAGGCCCCGGCAGCTTCTCTCCACCGAGCCAGTCTGGGGTTGAGGCCTAATGCATCACAGGTGGGTTCTGGCTCCAAACTCATTCCAGATGGTCTCACAGTCTATGCTTCCCTGCAACTCATTAAATTTTGGCTATCTTGGGATCACTAATGATGCTGAAGGGCTATGAGGATGGCAGAGACATATTCTGAAACCAGGACCTTTGAGAGGCATTGTATATTGGAGCACCCACCATAATATATGCATTCACAGGGAGCAAGCATATGCTGACCTTGACTCTCAGAGGTCACTGTGAGGGGCTTATGAATTTGACATTGTGAATGGTCTGTCTACTTGGGTCACAGAACGAGTATAAAGGGATCAACTGTGCTGTTACAGAAAATAGCTCTATTGCCTCTGGGCTCTAGAGAGAGTAAGGATATATCCTTGAACCCTAGTAATTGCTGTACCAGTTATTCCTTGAGAGGAGGACATGCTTGGGCAATTGTTTAGGGGCACGGGGTGAGCCTCATGGATTTTAACCCTTTTACAGCCATATCCCTTCAGAAGAGGGTAATATTCTGTTAATTGCATCTTCATATAACAAAAAGCTATGTTCTACAAAACAATTTTTGGCTTATTTTCTAGCTGGAAGGCTGCCCAAAGCATATACTAGAAGTTGAGCAAATAGCAGATTATTCAAGAGATATAAGTTTATGATATGGTTTTGGGAAAAAAAAGCAAAACACACTTGAAATTATCTATGTTTTGGTGTCTTAAGAGCTCAGGTATAAAAATCTTATCAAGAGACAAGAATATAACATTTAGAGCCAATCATCCTTGGAATTCAATCTCAATCCCATCATAAGCTTGGATAATTTGTTGGAGAAACTATTCACTTTTCTGACAGCCATTATCTGTGAAATTGGGATAATATCAACATAAAAGGGTGTGCACTGGTTTTGTTTACTTTCTCACTTGTGTATTTTTCATTGTCATGAATTCATGCATTTGTTAGTTCATTCCCCTAGTATCTTTTCTGTCCCAGGCACCATGTTAAGTTATACAAGAAATCCAGTCTAGGAAACAAAACTGATGTTTAACACAATTCAACAATGTGTTGAGCACTCACTATGCACCAGTTGCTGTGCTAGGCAACGGGCAGAGAGTGGTAGACGACCCAATGACTGTCCTCATGGGGGTTAGGGTTTAGTAGGTAGTAAACAATATTGTATAATGTGATTGCTGCTTCAACTATATGTTCTGGTACACTGGAACATGGAAGGGCATAGTTGTCTTTACTTGACTGGTTCACTAAGGACCACCAAGGAGAAGACAGTGGATCTGGGTTCTTAGGAGGAGTGATAGGAAGGATCTGGGCAGGAAGAAGTTTATGTTGGGGCCAGTCTAGAAGAAACCAGTAGCATATATAGATACATTCCTAAAGTTATCCTATTTTCCTATTTCTTAAACTCTCAAAATATATATTACTAGTCCCAGAGTTTTCAAAAATATATTACTGTCTATACTTTTCTGTGCCATTCATATGTTCACTACCAGACATAGCAATTTTTAATACTCCATGTTTTACTCCTGAAAAAAAAATAAAACAAAAAGAAAAACAAAATAATTACAAGCATTGGTCATGTTGAAATTCCTTTCAACCACTGTGGCAGGAATTGCTAGTTGCTTACCTGAATCCATTTTTTCTTTCTGCCTTATAAGCAGAACACTGACTTATTTCTGGCTACAAGACTGCATTTTGTTTTGGCTTCTCTTTGGGTAGGGGAGATGGTTGGCAATGAGATGGTTGTTTTATTTTTAAGTTTCTTAATGTGGGTTAAGAAACAGGGTTTTCTGGGGATTTGTTTTGCAGGAGGAGTCATAAGTTTATAATATATGACATTGGATATAGACCTAAGTAAATATAACATGAGTCTACCATGAACCTGGGTCTGCAATAAGTGTGTATCAACTCTTCATGCGTATTACGTTTTCATCTCAATGCAAGCTGCTTCCTGTTTTCACTGTTCACTCACCCAAGGCCCTACAGTTTATTAGGGACAGGAATAAGGTTCAAACTTTAGTTTATTCCACTACAAATTGGAATTGACAGGAGTAGGAATAGTGGGACTTGAGACAGTATATGCAAAGCACACAGCATTGGTCTTTGAATGTAGTTGGTGCTGAATCTAAGTTTCCTTCGCCATTTCCCCTTTACTTTTTCGTATACCTGACTGCAGCAATATCGAAACAAGCCTGTTGACAATCAGCGTGAATTCTTTGTAGAATGTGTGTGTATTGTGTACTCACACACATAGATGAGGGAAAGCGGTGGTTCAGAGAACATTGCATAGGTATCAAGATGCAATGCAGGGTCTTGTGTTTATTTGGACTGCAACAGAGGATATGTCAGCATCTCGTTACCTGGCCTGGAGAGTGGACCTTTTGATTGGGTCCTGGTTTCAATACCCATTATGAAATCAAGTTTGGCCCGTGAGCCAGGCGCCTTTTTATTCATGTTTGTCTTTGCAGTTTCTATTGCATATATCTCCCTGATGTCTGGGCTGCTGTACAATGTAAAAATCATGATCAAACAGCCTGAGGATCAGCTACTAGGCAAGACTCAAACAAGCCACATATGTGTATGGTTCCCATCCATCCATACATACATATATGCAATATAAAGTTGTTCTCAATAAAAGCATGAGGAAAAACTAGTAGCAGAAGTAGTCAGGGGTGAGTGTTGTGAGAACAAGGCATTTGGCAGCTGCTGGAAGCCTGACCACACTTCTGTGTATGTCCACACCTGTAGAATCTGCCATTGCTTGCTCCTAGTTTCATTCCAGTGCTCATGCTTGCCATTTCCTGCCTCTCTGTATTTACCCCTGCTGTCCCCTCCTCCTGGGATGTCACTCTCTAACTCATACACCTTTCAAGACTTTGTTAAAGCTCAATGATCTCTAGCAGCAGTTTAGATAGATTGTCTCTCTGCTAAATCATGAACTACTGGATAGAAGAGATAATATGTTTTAGTGATTGCAATTCCAAAGCACAAGAAACCACAAAACCCCAAAACATATAATATGCATACCTAAGGATTTTATTTTAATGTAATGAAATGCTGGTATTAATAAGAGTATTTCATAAGAATATTCATAAAACTTAAAAACAAGTAAGATGGAATATTTGATACTTTTAAAATATTTTTATACGCATAGTAAAAATCAAGTTAAAATAATGCTAAACACACACCATTCTAAAACATTGGATAAAAGCAAGCTAAACACTGCACACGAAAATTCATAAAAACTTAATATTGTACTTTTAAAACTCAGATTTCATTTAAGAACAGTATCAATTTCATATTGGCTGGATAGGCAGTGTTTGAGGAGATTACTATCTTGCATTTTATTGGTTCTTATAATTCTGATGCAGAAAAACATGGATCAAAGCAAAGGGCTGGATGACTTGAAGATAGATGAGCTGTTTTATAACCAAGAATTGTCAAATGCATCTTCTGGGAATAACAAGTTTTGATATTTAAACATTTTTCAAGTAAGTTCAATTTTTCAGTTTCTTTGCTGTCCGTTTTGTATTCTACTTGCTTCGAAATCTTTCATCTGGAGCAAGGTTGTCCAACCTGTGGCCCAAGACAGCTTTGAATACATCTCAACACAAATTTGTAAGCTTTAAAACATTGAGTTTTTTGCAATTTTTTTTTTAGTTCATCAGCTATCATTAGTGTATTTTATACATGACCCAAGACAATAATTCTCCCACTGTGGCCCAGGGAAGCCAAAAGATTGGATACCCCTGATCTAGAGTAAGAAACATGCTTGCTGTTAGGTTCTCTGGAGAAACAGAAGAGTATATATATATATATATATGTATATATATATATATGTGTGTATATATATATGTATATATACACACACACACACACACACACATATATACATACACATAATACACACACAGAGGATTTTCCCTTCCTCTGCTTTTTGTTCTATTTAGGTCCTACATGGATGGAATGATGCACACTCACATTGAGGAGGGCTATCTGCTTTACCCAGTCTGCTACTTCAAATGCTAATCTTCTCCAGAAACACAGACACGAGGTTTAATGAAATTACCTGGGCACCCCATGGTGACCAATCAAATTGGCATGTAAAATTTAGCCATCATACCTGCAGTAGAATAATTTTCATAAGTTGTCATTTCTTCTTCCTCACCATCTCTTGCAGATTAAGGAAACACTACATGTTCTAAATGACCATGACTGTTGAATTTGAAGTTTAAATGTATATAGCTGTATTAGGAGTCTCCAGAGGAAAATAACCAATGGAATATACACAGAGATATTTAAAGAGATAATAGGCATTGGCTTACATGGTTATGGAGACTAGGTTGTCCCATGATCTGCTGTTGGTAAGCTGGAAAACTAGGAAAGCTGGTGATGTAATTCAACCTGAATCTAAAGGCCTGTGAGTTGGGAGGTCAATGGGAATACCGATGTCTGAGGTCTGAAGGCAGGAGAAAATGGACATCTCAACTTAAGCAGAGAGCCAATTTGCTCTCCCTCTGCCTTTTTCTGTTCAGACTTTCAATGGATTAGATGATGCCCATCAACATGGTGAAGGGCCTTTCTACTTTACTCAGTTGATCAGTTAGATTGCTGATCTCTTCTAGAGACACCTTCACAGATATACCTAGAAAACATGTTTTGTTAGCTATCTGGTCACCCTTTAGCTCAGTCAAGTTGACACATAAAATTAACATCACAAGTCTACCCTTTGTCAACTTGGCACTTAGACATCTCTTTACCATGCCATACAAACCATAGTTTCCAAATAAACATAATAAGGTCAGAATTCTAACATGATGTAATCCTGTGTACAACCTAAAATTAATCCCTTCTCCCCAAAAGGAAAAATTCTGAATAATGTTTAATCTGTTATCCTATACTTAGATACTATGATGTAAAATTAGCAATATTAAATACTAATAAAGTCAATGTCTTATGTTACGTAACAGAATGAAAGAAAGATATTTGCTTAATATGTATCTATATATATATATATATACACAAATGTATATATAACAAAATGAGAAAACATTTGTGACAATTACAGTCCTCATTTCTATAACTGGCCACATGGTTGTAGCTGGTATTTATAACTTCTTCTACCACCCATTCTGCATTCTCTTTGCCTTCAGCAACAATCTCAACTGGTCAGTTATTTGCTTTTCAGGGTGACCCAAACCTTCATTCTTGAAAGGTCTGGGTCACTTTTCCTGACAATTCCTGTCTGTATTGGGTTATAGTTTCCTATTGATGTTAACAAAAGAACATGGTAATACTAAAAGACACCCTAGGGGGTTTCCTGTATCCCAGACATTCTACTTTACCTCAGCTGTGGAGTAGTAGAGTTCAATTTCCTTTTGGTAGTCCATATCAATCACCCCAGCCCACATAACTCCTTTCTTTTACTGTTGACTCAGAGGCAGGAGGAGTCCAAAGTGGCCAGGTGGCAATCTTAACTTGCAGTTCAAAGGAATTATGGTTGGGTCTCCTGGTGGAAGCATTTTCCCCCCTCTGGAACTAAGATCTCTAGGCCAGCAGAGCATAAAGTTGGAACAGGAAGCAAAAGTTTTGCTAGTAAATGAGAGGTGCCACTCTATTTCTACCCCCTTGATTCCTGGCTATCAGAAATAGCACCATATATTGGACACTGATTCAGAGAGTATACAGTCTCTGGAGAACCCCAACTCTGCAAGGTATTCCAACCTAGTTAGCCCCACCATCCTGTGAAGCCAGCTGCTTCACGATAATGAGGAACATGGTAAGATCAGTTAATTCGATGAGCATGGGCCAATTGCCTCACTTCTTTTCTGTGATGTGAGTTCCTTGATAAGCTTCTGTGTGGAGTATCATTATGGTGGATGAGGCATTTTGTAAGTCTACAGATAATTTTGGCAGAAGCATTGTGTTCAGGGAAGGCAAATCCATATCCAGAGTAAATGTCTACTCTGTAAGAACAAAATGCTGCCCATTTCATGATGGAAGAGATCCAATGTAATCAACCTTGCCACACTAGGTGGCTGGCTGATCACTTCAAGAAATGGTGCCAAATTGGAGGCTCAGTATCATCTTTAGCTGCTATCAGATCGGCATTCAGCAAGTCAGCCTTGGTGAGTGGAAGTCCACATTGCCGAGCCCACGCATAGCCTCTATCTCTGCCACTATGACCATTTTTTTAAAATGAGACCATTGGGCAAAGAGGTAGTTGGGGAAAAAGACTGATAAAATGACCCATTCTGTGAACACCAATCACGTTATTAAAATCCTTCTCTGTTGAGGTCACTTTGAGAATTCACATGGGACACAAATATTGCATTTTGTCCATTCAGAGAGGTCTATTGACACACCGCTTCCAAGTTTGTCAGTTTTCTAGTCATGTTTTCTTCCAACTCTGAATTATTGTCTACAGCTCATTAATTGGTATACCATATCTGGCCATTTCTTCTGAGCAAAGTCCACAACCAGGTACGGTGCCCAAATTTCTGCCCACTGGCAGGGTTTCCCTTTACTACTGTTCTTTATGTATATTCCAGAGAGAGCCTGTAGTACTGCCCCTGTTCACTTTCAGGCAGCTCCCACATTTTATATAGAACCATCTGCAAATGAGGCACAAATCTGTTCCTCTGTCAATTGATCATCGGGAACTCCCATGAGGCCATAGGTGCAGGCTGGGAGAGAGAGGCAGTATAGCCTGAGTTGGGACTACAAGCATTTGGGCCACTTCTTTATATAACCTACTTGTACCTTCAGGGCCTTCTTGAGCCTGATTACACACATATAACTTCCACTTAATGTAGCAGTGCTGTGCACACCTAACTTTATGGCTTGATGAGTCAGATAACTAGTGTATAATGGTAAGCTCAGTTGCAATGGAAACTTGGTGACTCATGGTCAAGTGTTCTATTTCTATTAAGACCCAGTAGCAGTCCAAAAGACATCTATCAAAAGGAGAGTAGTTATCTGTAGATGATGGCAGGGCTTTGTTCCAAAATCCTAAAGGCTTATGTTGCAAATCACCAATAATGCCCCACCAACGGCTCCAAACAGCATCTTTCTCCATTGGCATTTCAAGCACCATAGGATCCGCTGGATCACATGGCCCAAGTCTCAGAACAGCTTGCACAGCTGCGTGGACCTATTGCAGAGCCTTTTAAAAAATTCTGGGCCTCACTCCAAACTGGCAGCTTTTCCATTAATGTGGTGAATGGGCTGGAGTAACATGTCCAAATGACAGACACATTGTTTTCAAGATCCAGACAGGTCCATTAGACATTGTACCTCTCTCTTGCTTGTGAGAGGGGCCAGATACAATAACTTATTCTTCACCTTAGAAGGGATATCTTGATATACAACTGCAACTCTAAAGCTTTCCCTGAGGTAGAAGGCCCCTGAATTGTAGTTGGATTTATTTCTCACCTTCTGGTATGTAAATGTTTTACCAATAAGTTTAGGATAGTTGCTAATTCTTGCTCATTAGGTCAGCATGTCAATGTAATGAACAAATGGAATGCCCTGTAGAAGGGAAAGGTGGTCAAGATCCCTGGAAACCAAATTATAACACAGGGCAAAAGAGTTGATATACCCCTGAGGTAGGACAGTGAAGGTATATTTCTGGCCTTGCCAGCTGAAAGGAAACTGTTTCTGGTATGAACAGGTATGGATAAAAAGGACAGGTAAATAACCGTATACCAGGTACCAGGGGATGTGTTAATTGGCTGAAGCAATGAAATCACATCTGGTATAGCAGCTACAATTGGAGTTACCACTTGATTAAGCTTACAGTAACCTACTGTTATTCTCCAAGATCTTCTGTATAGGCTAAGTAGAGTGGAATGGGGATGTGGTGGGAATCACTATCCCTGCATCTTTCAAGTTGTCGATGGTGGCACTAATCTCTGCAATACCATCAGGGATGCCACATTGCTTTTAATGCACTATTTTCCTAGGTAGAGGCAGTTACAATGGCTTCTACTTGACCTTGTCCATCAAGTTACGGACAGGTCTTTGTTCTTAGAGCTCCCCAGATGTGGTGGGCCGCTCCCAAGATGGGGGCAGGCCTTTTGTTCTCTGACCTGGGGTTCTTGGCCTCATGGATTCCAAGGAATGGAACCTTGGGCCATGCGGTGAGTGTTATAGCTCTGTTAGAAGCCGTGGGTCACGGAAGAGAACCATGGAACCCAGCAACTAGTATTCAGCTCGATTAGAATGAACCCTGGGCCCTTAGCCATGCAGGAACAATGGTGAGCCTCTAGCCTGATCAGGAATGGCAATGGGCACCTCACTAGATCAGAAGCACAGCGGACACCCTGCCGCATCGGAGGGGTGGAAGTCAACAGCGGGTGTGCGACGGCGGCAAACAGCAGTGGTGGATGGCGAGTGAAAGCTCAGCTTAAGCCATAAGAAACATGGACCAGAAGAGAGTGTAATTGCAAGATTTAATAGAGTGAACATAGAGCTCCCATACAATGGGAGGGGACCCAAAGGGGGTTGCCCACCCCTGGCTCGAATGCCTGGGGTTTATATCCCAATCATTGTCTCTCCCTCTGTGTTCTCAGGTGATAGATGATTGACTGTTTCTTTTACCTCCTGCCTTTAGCTTAATTGGTATTTTAGTGAGCCGCTCTTTACTACCTGATTTGTCGGGTGTGAACTGAGTTACAAGCCCCGTGTTTAAAGATGGGTGTGGTCACCTTCCCAGCTAGGCTTAGGAATTCTTTGTCGGCCTAGGAAATCCAGCTAGTCCTGTCTCTCAGTAGCCCCCTCAACATGAAAACTCAAGTGCTATTGGGGAGGTTGGCTGATGATTGCTCTAACTGCTTCCTGCTGAATTGGGGTGTAGTAGGGGTTGTGCAGTTGAGATTTCCTCAGGAGGAGTGCCTTCGATGTCATCAACAACAGAGCATGGGCTAGCAAGTCGGTCCAGGGGTCTGTGGTAGATCTTAGTCATGGGCTGCATCTGGGGCTCCATTTGAAGAAAGATTTGTAGTTTTACAGCTTTGATTCTGGAAGAGACAAACTTAACAAGGAGGTTAAAGATACAGGGATGCAGAAAAAGGCATCCTTAAGGTTCAGGACTATAAACAACTCTGCTTCCTCTGGTATTTGGGAAAGCAGAGTATAAGGGTTAGGTACAGCTGGGTATAGAGTGACAACAGCCTCATTGATAATCCTGAGATCTTGCACTAACCTCCACTGTCCGTTGGGTTTCGGTACTCCTAAACTTGGAGTATTGCAGGGGCTATTGCATGGTTTCACTAGGCCTCGGGCTTTTAGGTCCTTAATCTTTTGGAGTCCTTGTTGGGCCTCGGGTCTAAGGGTGTACTGCCTTTGGTAGGTAAAGGAGGTGGAATTCTTTAGTATAACTTGAACAGGATAGGCATTCTTTGCTTGTCCATATTGTCCTTCTGTTACCTAGACTTCAGGATTAATTCCTTCCTTAAGCAGGGGACAACAAACGGGTGTTCCTTTTCCTATGTTCAGGTGTATAATGGCCTCTGCTTTTGCTAGAATGTCTCTCCTTAACAAAGGAGTGGGGCTTTCAGGCATAATTAGAAAGGCATTTGAAAAGAGTAAAGTTCCCCAGTCACAACTTAGTGACTGGGAGAAGTATCTAGTGACTGCCTGTCCTAGGACCCCTCGAATAGTGACAGATCTGGAGGACAGTTGTCCAGAATAGGAGAGTAAGACTGAGAAGGCTGTGCCAGTGTCCAGAAGACAGTTAACCTCCTGACCCTCAATGGTCAAGTATACCCAGGGCTCTGTGAGGGTGATGACATGGGCTGGCGCTTGCCCTGGTCACCCTCAGTCCTGCTGCTGGATCATCTGGTTAGTGGCTTCTGAGTCAGAGGACCTTCATCCCCTGGGGCAGTGGACCTTCCAGTGATTCCCTTGACATAAGGGGCATGGAAGAGGGGGAGGCTTATTTCTATTCGGACAATCTTTTTAAAAGTGTCCTTGTAGACCGTACTGGAAGCAAGCCCTATTAGGCATTCAATTTGCCCAGCCTTTCCCTGTTCCAGAACCTCCAAAGTCCGCTTGCCTGAGGGCCATGACTACAGTGGTGGCCTTTTTTTTAATCCTGTTTGTCCCGTTCCACCTGCTCTTCCTGATCTCTATTATAAAAAACCGAGTTTGCCAAGTTCAATAGGGTTTCTAAGTTTTGCTCTGGGCCTAAGGCAGACTTTTGAAGTTTTTTTCTAATGTCTGCAGCTGACTGAGTGATAAACTTTTCTTTTAAGATTACTTGGCCTTCAATGGAGTCAGGTGACAGAGAGGTATGCTTCCTCAATGCCTCCCTTAGTCTCTACAGAAAGGCGATAGGATTTTCTTCCTTTCCCTGTGTTATAGTGGACATCATTTAATAATTTATAGGATTCTTCCTAGTTTTCCTTAGTCCTTCTAGCATGCAAGTTAGCAAATGTCTGCGGCACCAATCTCCATGTTCTGATTCTGCGTCCCAGTGAGGGTCTACATTGGGAACTGCCTGCTGACCTGTGGGGAATCATTCTCTTTCCTGTTGTCATTCTTTCATTGACCTGACTGAGATACCAGAGATCGCAAAACTCTTGGGCTGCAGTTATGGTGGCACTTCTCTCATTTGGGGTTAGTGTCTGATTTAGCAGTAACATCTCTCTCCATGTCAGATCAAAGGATTGTCCTAACCCTTGTAAAACATCAATATAGCCATCAGGGTTATCTGAGAATTTACCTAGGTCTATTTTAATTTGCTTTAAATCTGAGAGGGAAAAAGGTACATGCACTCTGACTGGGCCGAATTCTCCAGAATACATCTTGGGTGCATTTTTGCCATGAGAGGGAACATTTCACATCTGAAAAAAGAACATAGGGATGGCAGCACACCTAGTCATTTTCTGATGAGCATTAGTCCTAGAGCATCCTCTATGGTCCTAATGCTTATTCATTTCCAAGGTGTGTAACAACCCATGGACCTCTGCTTATCAGATTAGTTACACTCACCAATGTAGCAGTCCTGCACCTGTTTTCCCGCCTTTCTTGACCACAAAGAAAGGGGTCCAGGCTGCTAGATTCCAGTGGTCCTTTACCAGAGTGCCCAACATTGCCTTTGCACTCAGAGGCGAGTTCTAGAGCTGAGCTGGTTTCCTGAGTATTTCATAACAACCCAGCTGCCCCATCAAGATGCATTCCCGTAAACAACAGTTCTTACACAAATTCATTTCAGAGAGGGTGTAGGTAACCTTTTGAGTCAGGATTGAGATGGAGTTTTGATTCTGTAAGTACTTTAAGGCTTGGCTGAATGCAAACAGCTGGCACGTTTGAGCAGACCAATTATTTAGGCAATTCTCCTAACTCTGCTTCCACTAGAGTCTCCCTATCAGTTACTGAATACCCATTGTGTTTTTTTTTTTTCCCTCAATCACCCGGGAGGAAGCATCTATTGTCCTGTCCTGAAGGGAATTCTTCCTAAGTCTGGTTGGACCTTTGTATGGTAGTGAAGATTTAAATCCTCTGTTAGGAAATCTGCCGGGTTAAGGGAATTTTCAGTGGTTAGTGTTAAATCACCTTTTTCTAACAGAACAGCCCCATACTTTAAGATTTTTGAGTTAGTAAGCTCCCGTTTTGCTTTTTGACTTAGGATAGTTCTGAACTGGTGAGCTGTGCTCACAATGAGGTTTCCTCTAAAGGTTATTTTTCTACTTTTAGCAAAGCAGTTGCCGCTACCGACTGAATGCATTTGGTCCATATGCGGGTTACTGCGTTAAGGATATTTGATAGGAAGGCTACAGGTTGTCAGTGGTCTCAGTGTTTTCAGGCTACGCCCTTGTTTACACCAACAAGGTAGTACTGGAGTGTTATAGAGTCATGGAGAAGACCTTCAATTATCAATTATAGGTTTTAAATTTACCCTGGCTTTTAAAGGAATAGGGCACGCTTTTTTCTTTACTACTTCCATCTTTTTCTTTCTCTCTTTGACTCTGTCTCTCTGCCTCTTTCCCTCTCTCTTTTCTCTCTGTCTTTGTAGATGGATTTTGGAAACACAGTGGAAGGACATTTGCTCATTGTCCCCATTTGCCACTATAGGAATATGGGCCTCCCTTTAATTTACTCAATTCGTTTTCATCCTGATCTAGTATGTTGTCGTAGACATAGTCCCAGTTGTTAAAGTACTGGGTCATCAGTTCTAAGGCCCTGGCCAAGGAGCCAAGGCTTGGAGATTGTATTGCAGAGGTGTAAGCTGGGTAGAAATTGGGGGAGAACATCTTACACATGGGAGAACAATCCTCCTAGCCATTTACAAATGTGGGGCCATGGCTCATAATAGAACTTGGAGGCTTGGCAAGGGTGGTGGGGAACGGGTCCCACATAACTGCCCATGTCGAGAGCTATATACCTAAATTGGGAGGGTCATCAGGGACAAGACTCCCTGGGTTCATAGCCTAGATGCCTAAGGACACAGCATAGAGCTTCCCTAGATCCCTTTGGAGATACAACTTGCTCTAATACTTGGGAGCGGAAGTAAAAGTCTGAAGCATTGGTACCTAGGAGGCAGGGATCACAGGAAGTAGATGAGAGGTAAGGAGAATTTTGGGGCTACACTTTCAAGAAAGTCATGGTTGGGACCCAGGAGGTATGGGTCAGAAGAAGTAGGGGTACACACATGGGAGTAGAGACTTCTGGCTGCACCATGATCCCAATTGGCCAATTCTGAGAGTTCAGGACGACAGCTTTCTGCCTCTAGTCAGCCCTCAGCTTCCCCCAGGAAATTGTGAAACTGGAAGCTGGTTCCAGACAGACTAATGCTCCCAACCCAGAAGGGTTGGGGGTTGTTAGAAAGCCTTTTCCCAGGAAGCCTCACACCTGAGTCCGGCGGCCATGCTAATCATTTCTAACCAGCCGACCAGGTGCCTGGTATTTTCCTCCAATTCTAAGGAACAATAGGACAGAATAGCAAGTGAAAGTGGTCTGATATTATTCACTGCTTTGGAGAATCCCCATATGAGGCCACCAAATGTTACTGGGGGTCTTTGTTCTTAGAGTTCCCAAGATGTGGGGGGCCACTCCCAAGATGGCAGCAAGCCTTTTGTTCTCTGACCTGGGGTTCTTGGCCTCACAGATTCCAAGGAATGGAACCTTGGGCTATGCAGTGAGCATTATAGCTCTATTAGAAGCCGTGGGCCATGGAAGAGAACCATGGAAACCAGCAACTAGTGTTTAGCTCAATTAGGATGAACCTTGGGGCCTTAGCCATGCAGGAACAATGGTGAGCCTCTAGCCCAACCGGGAGTGGCAATGGGCACCTCGCTAGATCAGAAGCACAGCAGACACCCTGCCGTATCCAGAGGGGTGGAAGTCAACAGTGGTTCTGGGATTGCAGCAAAAAGCCATGGTGGACGGTGAACAGCCGTGGTGGACGGCAAGTGAAAGCTCAGCTTGAGCTGTAACAAACATGGACCAGAAGAATGTGTAATTGCAAGATTTAATAGAGTGAAAACAGAGCTCCCATCCAATGGGAGGGGACCCAAAGGGTGTTGCCCACTCCTGGCTCGAATGCCTGGGGTTTATATCCCAATCATTGTCCCCCCCACTGTGCTCTCAGTTGTTAGATGATTGACTATTTCTTTTACCTTCCGCCTTTAGCCTAATTGGTATTTTAGTGAGCCCCTCTTTACTATCTGATTGGTCAGGTGTGAATTGAGTTACAAGCCCCATGTTTAAAGGTGGGTGTGGTCACCTTCCATAGCTAGGCTTAGGAATTCTTAGTCAGCCTAGGAAATTCAGCTAGTCCTGTCTCTCAGTAATAGCCCTTACCCTACAGGTCAGGAAACCACTGTGGGTTTTCTACTAGCTGCTAAGTATATCTATTTTATTTAAGCATTCTGAATCTGGGGAAATAAACACAGGGTGGGTTTGGGAATCTACGAGACCCACTGTAACACAGACTTGAGTTAAAATTCCATTGATCACCTGACCTCCATAACCCCTACTCTTACTGGAGAGCCACAACGATGTTTTGGGCTTCTGGAATCAATGTCATTTCTGAGCCAGTGTCTAGTAGTTCTTGAAAGTTCTGATTTCCTTTTGTTCAATGTATAGTTAAAGTGGTTTAAAAAAGGTAGGTCCCTTTGGGAAAGGCAGGGTGAAAGATTGACAGTATATACTTTTGGTAGTGTATTGAGGGCCCTCTTTGAGGCTCCCTTGCCTCTCCTTCATTCAAGGGGTATACATCTATAATCTGGCTCAACCCTGGGAATTGAGGGATCATGACTGTTTTTATTATTCAATTTAGACTTTGTTTACTTGATCTAGGACTTTTCTGCTTATATAGATGAAGTAAAAGTTTACTGGGCTTCCTGTCTATTTCATTTCTAGGATTATGATTAGCCAATACCACAGGTCTACGTGAGTCCAACTATTCTGATTGTGGCTTTGACTTTGCTGTCCATTATGGTATTATTCCCAACTTGCTTTTGGTGATTCAGTGTTGCCACTTGGCCCCTGCCACTGTGGAATCCAATTATTCACATTGCATTTAGGTTTTCCAGTTGAGTGGCTGCAGTCACCACTGAAAGGCCTAGCCTACAAATAATAATTATGGAGTTCTTCAAGGACACTGGAGCTCACCTAACTAATGTATTTCTCAACATATTAGTGAAAGGTAGGTCTTCAGGACCCTCCAAGAGTGGGTGGGTAGGTCTTAAATGAGATCCACACTAACATTCCAATCTCCCTAAGCCTTTGAATTCCTTTTTTCTACATTAAACCAAGGGAGTTTGGGCATTTACATTTTTTCATGGTAGGCCATCATTTTATTCATATTTCAGCCAATCAACCAAACTGTTAGAGCTCTTCCTAACTCTTTGAGCCAGAACATTAAATGCAGAATCTGCTTAGTGAGTCTATATCAATAAATTCAGTCTGATCCATAAGTTTTTTTCTACCATCATCTGATACCTTTAACACCCATTCCCATACATGGCTCTGGATTTCTGTTTATATAAGTTAGCAAACTCAGGTAGCTCTTTTTGAGTGTAGTGTAGCCCCTCCTGGGTAATATTTTGTACTTTACCTTTAGATATTTCCTGGGACTTGAGTCTAGTTAGAGGTCTAAAAGCAAAGAGGGGTATTGGTGGGTCCTGAGCAGAGCCAGCATTGTCTTACATAGTAACTTCCTCAAGGTGGGCCATTACCATTTCCTCAAGCAAGGGAGGATTAATCTCTTCAGATTGAGGGAGAAAGGCTGTTACTGCTGGGAATCAGGAGGCCCCTTCTTCTGGGAAAAAGGACTTATTTAGGAACTAAATTTCCCCAGCTTCATCAGAATCTTCCCACATGTCCCCATTCCAACTTATAAGATCCCATTTGTTCCCAGTCAATTCCCTAATTTTAACAGTAGATAGCATGCAAAGCTGGGAATTCAACTTGCATTGTGATTCAGCTAATTTCAGGATCAGGTTCTGCGTTTGATTTTTAGTTATTTAGCCCTGTAGCTACAGGAGATAAGGTTCTCCTCTAGGCATGCCTGAAAGTTCTGAGGTCATTTATGTAGTGCTTGAGCTGGGAATTTGAGTCCCTGAGCTCACCCTTTTTCCACTTTGTCCAGTGCAGCAACAACCCAATGCCATTTTTTAGTTTTCCAAAAATGTTTGAAAGTATGTACAGAGTCACTTAACTCCTTGTTTCTAAGCAAGTTCCTTGATATAAGTGGTTGATTAGAAGTATTGAATGCAGATATTTTGTGTGTCTCTATGAAGAGTTTATGCCATAGAATATCACTGCTCTCTGTTACTGGAAATAGAGTTATTAGTGTCTTTAAATCTAATCAGATTAGAAAGCCAATTTCAGAAACCCCAGAACCAGTTTAGAAAACGTATTTTTATTTTCTTTCTCTAGAACCATTCTTTCAGTAACAAAACCTATATTAGACAGTTCACCAGGGAAAGAAAAGAGCCAGTATAACATACATACACAAAAATATTATAGAAATTGGCTCACATGATTATGGAGGTCAAGATATCCCATGACCTGCTGTCTGCAAGCTGGAAAGCTGGAGAAGCTGGTGTAATTCACCTGAGTTGAGAGGCCTGAGAACTGGGGAGCCAATGGCGTAAGTCCTTGTCTGTGTCCTGTGTTCTAAGGAGAATCAAAAGCACCAATATCTGAGAGCAGGAAAGTAGAGAGATGCCACAGCTCAGGCAGAGTGAGTTCACATTTCCTCTGACTTTTAATTTTATTCAGGCCTTCAGTGGATTTAAAGATACTAGCGACTATTTCAGAGAGACAAAAGGTAAGAATGAGAAGAGTAAAGCACTCATCCTCCCTTACAGGCAAGTGGCAAAAGTTAAGACCATGCTCTTTAGAACGAGACAGACTTGAGTTCAATTCCTGCCCTGCAAGTCACTGGCCACATATCCTTGGGCAAATTATTTAGCTCTATGGTACCTCAGTTGCCTCTTTAGTAAAATAGGAATAATTATAATTACCTCTACCTGTGAGGGTTTCATGAGTTATATGTTTAGAAAAATAAACATAGGCCAGGCACAGTGGCTCCCACCTGTAATTCCAGCACTTTGGGAGGCCGAGACAGGTCAGGAGTTCAAGACCAGCCTGACCAACATGACAAAACCCTATCTCTATTAAAAATACAAAAATTAGCCAGGCATGGTGGCACACACCTGTAATCCCAGGTACTTGGGAGATAGAGGCAGGAGAATCACTTGAATCTTGGAGGCGGAGGTGCAGTAAGATAAGATTGTGCCACTGCACTCCAGCCTGGGGGAAAGAGTGAGACTCAGTAACACACACACACACACACACACACACACACACACACACACACACAACAAAACAAAACAAAAAAAACAGATGCCATGTCTACTATAAGAATTCAACTTTCCTCTTCTTTTTCCTCTGATCCTCCTTCTACGCCAAACATAAGATTCCCCTTTTGGGCAGATTTGCCTTTTCGGGTGTTTCAAACACAAAGTGAGACAGGAAGAAAGCTGTTCTTTTGGTCTGTAAGCCAAACCTCTAATCAAAATTCCTGAGGGAGATTTGGAGACCTACATTTCTTCCCTTGAGTACACCAGCCAGAGGCACTGGGTAAATCTCACAGGCATGGAGATGTAAACTCATGGTTCCTGGTCAAGAGCTTGGCAATATCAGAGGTCTTACATGTTTCTGGGCCACATTTTCTTAATATGCTTATTGGAGCTTTGGATGTTATGTTTTTCCTCTTTTTTTTTTTTTTTTTTTTGAGATGGAGTCTCGCTCTGTCGCCCAGGCTGGAGTGCAGTGGCGCGATCTTGGCTCACTCCAAGCTCCGCCTCCCGGGTTCACGCCATTCTTCTGCCTCAGCCTCCCAAGTAGCTGGGACTACAGGCGCCTGCCACCACGCCTGGCTAATTTTTTGTATTTTTAGTAGAGATGGGGTTTCACTGTGTTAGCCAGGAGGGTCTCGATCTCCTGACCTCATGATCCGCCCGCCTCGGCCTCCCAAAGTGCTGGGATTACAGGCGTGATTCCTCATGTTTTTTAAAGCTTGGAGTAAATAACTTTGTATATTCTAATACTCTGAAATCTAACACATACTAAATTAATTTTGTAGCATTTTCCAATTTACAAGACCCTTTCACATGTTTTCATGTTTAATGTGAAGATATTGTGGTAGACAGGAAGAACATGGGTTAACTCCATCCTACATGGGTTTGGGCCCAGGGAAAATTGAATAAGAAGTTACAGGTAAGTAGGAAGGTGAAAATGGGATTTGGACAAAGAAAAGATGTCACAGGCAGGTTTTAGAAGACTTTTGGAAAAAAAAAAAGATCAGGGTACAGCTGCAGGTTGGGTGTGTATATATGTGTGTTGGATCATGGGAAAGAGTATGTAGATGAGCTGACTAACTGGAGAACACATTTATGTTGTTAATTTGCTGTATGCTGTGAATGGAACACTTGGCATTGCTCAAGAGGCTGCAGTGAAAATGTAGGCTACCTCTTATTTTTGGATGCTAGTCTGATTTTTCTTAATAATTATACTATAACAAAGGGGATTACAGATTGAATAGCTTGTATAAAGGTGATATAAACAATAAATTACTTGTAGCACACATCAAAAACTAATTGCTACACACTAAATGTATTTCTTCATAGTCAAGAACCCCAGACATCTTCTAGGTCCAATATTTCTTAAGAATCAGTATTCTTTTAAGTCCAATCAGAATGTCTACTTTCTATGCTAAATGGAATATATAATACAAGTAAAATTCTAATTTGTGAATAGTGAACACAAATCAATAATACTGAATAATACAGCTTTAAAAATTCTACCATAATAGGTGTATCTTAAGTGGTAACTTTCTTTTTCACTAAAAATTAGTGTTTGCATTTGAAAAACAAATATGTATGATAAAGAATTAGCTCTGTTATTAGTATTTTTCCTTAAACAGTGTATGGTCTAGATCTATTCAGCTTCAAAGAAAGTGCACTCTCTTCCACACTAAATCATAATAGCAGATCAGTTTGTAATACGGGTTATACAAATGATGTATATTATATTGATGGCAGTGGCTGCTGCCATCACGCCAGCTGCGGCAGGAAGGTGCAGCTGCAGCAGGGAAGCGCGGCTGGGGATGCACACTCTGTGGAGCTGGTGGGAGCTCTGCCCCTTCTGAGTTGGGGCAGGAGCCTGCTCAAACCATGGTTGCAGACCCCGGTTTCCTGCTCTACGGAATCGGCAGGAGCCCCGCCCTCCTGGGCAGAGCTACAGCCACCCAAACTGCAACTGTGGGTGTGAGCCTCCTTGTGCTCCTGGAGGGGTCCAGGAGCAGGCAGGATGTCCCCTCCTGGGTGCAGCTGCAGTTGGCAGGCCTGTGGCTGCAGACCTGGGCCTCCCATTCCGCTGAGCTGGCAGGAGCCAGGGAGAAGCAGGAAACCCACTCCTTCTGAGTTGTGAGGTGGGAGCGCCCCAGGTACAGCAGGTGCAGGACCTGGGCATCTTTGCAGCATACATCCTCCAGGGCCTGGGAAGGTCCACACAACCTTCCTCCCTACATCCTTGCTGGCTCAGGGATGTCTGCTTCTGCTGCCTGGCTTCTCTCCTCTCCCACACCTGCTCCAATCTTGGAATGGGTTGGGGCCTGGGGTCATGAATGGCAGTGGGAGGCAGATTGATTCCTGGGTGGAAGTGGGGGTAGGTCCCCAGTAAGGCCCCACCTTCAGGACAGGGAGGGCCTGAAGGCTGGGGGCCTGGCTGCCAGTTCCATGGACCAGAGTGGGAACTCGGACCAGAGTGGGAACTTGTGGTGCCTTTTCCAACCTGTTCATGGGCAGCCATGGGCCAATTGGTACACACTCCCTCCCCTTTGAGGTCCATAAAAGCCCTGGGCTTAGCCAGAGCAGGGCAGAGGATGCCCAGAGGATGAAGAGGGCAGAGAGACTACCTGCCAATCAGCTACAGAGAGGACCTACCCTCTCTGCTGATAGCTAGAGATGAGGGAACAACCAGTTACAGAGAGGAACTACCCGTTCTGCTGAGAGCTGCAGACATCAGGAAGACCAGTTGCAGAGAAGAGCTACCCTCTCTAGGGCCTCTTCTCTGCTGAGAACTGAACACTCAATGGATGACCTTCCTACAGAGAGGAGCTACCCATTCCAGGTCTCCTCCGAGCTATTAACACTCAATAAAGCTCATCTTCATCTTGTTCACCCTTCACTTGTCTGTGTACCTCATTCTTTCTGGATGCAGGACAAGAACACGGGCAAAAGTGCCATGGCCACAGAAGTCAGAGGTTTCCAGCCAGAAAATTGACACCCCAGAGATCCCATAACAATATGATCATAAGAAAATGTATTCATAGAAATTAGTGTAATTGCATATAGCTGAAAAGTTTATGACAAAATGTTACTTATATGAGTGACACCAGCAAAATGGTGGACTATGAAGCTCTAGGCTCTCATTCCCCCTGAAAACATCAAATGCACAATAGGTTGGCTGAAACAGCTTTGTGTGAGCTCTAGAAACCAGGTGAGAATCTGTAGAAACAAAGTGGATGCCCAACCAAGAAAAAGTCATACTGAAATGGTAGAAAATTGTTAAATTTTGCTCACTTTTGCCCTAGTTCCTCCATGGTCTGGTAGAGCAGTCAGAAGGAGGAAGCCACCCAATTCCCAGTTTCTCCCTTGGGACAGAGGAAGATTAAACTATTTTTAACATTCTGGATTGTCAGGTGGGGTGGTGGGGGCAGGGGGGTGGGGGCTACTATCCAAGAAACCATTTGTCTTACTTGACTTGGAACTCCCATGGGAACAGTTTGCACAGTTTGAATATGAGGTTGGAGGGTGAAAGCAGTGGTCAGTGCCACGGCACCTGATTGGTGCAGAGACTGCAGACCTGTAGGTTCTTGGGGGACAGAGGTTATGGGCAGAGAAATACAGTAGAACTTTCAAGGCCTTGAGAAGAAGCAGAGAGGAGACTCTTACAGAAATGAAGACATTTAAAAGTAGCCATTGATATGGGGAATTAGGAAGGAAAAGCACACGCACGGATCCAAGAAAGTTAAATTCCCTGGAAAGACCTGAGAAGACACTTAGTCATCACCCTAGGCTGGCTGACCAGTGAAGGTCTTCCCCTACAGAGAGCCAGTGTGAAAAAGGTTGAAAAGATAGCTATTTTTGTTCTAAATACCCAATTTTCAAAAAAAGACTACAATGGATATAAAGAAACAGGAAAACAGACCTTTCAAGAAAAAAATCTTTAGAAACTGACTCTAAAGAAACAGTGTTTAAACTTACTTGACAAAGACTAAGATAACTGTCTTAAATATGCTCAAAGAGCTAACAGGAGACAGACAACTAAAGGAAACAAAACTATGTATAAACAAACAGAATGGCAACAAAAAAGTTAAAGTTACAAAAAATGGCCAAAAAAACACCCCCCCCCCCAAAAAAAACCCTGGAACTTAAAAACACAGTAACTGAATTGAAAAATTCATGGAGTTGTTCAATAGTAGACAGGCAGGAGAACTAGTAGATTTGAAGACAGGTCATTTGAGATTATCAAGTCTGAGGAGCAAAAAGAAAAAAGAAAAATGAACCAACTCTAAGGGCACTGTAAGATATCACTAAGCACCTAAAGGAATTCAATTACCATTAGATCTGCCCTGTAAGAAATGATAAAGGGTTAAGTTGAAATGAAAAGACACTACTAGCCAGTACCTCAAAGCCATGTGAAAATACAAAGTTCTTCAGTAAAAGTAAATACATGGAGAAACAAAAACCTGTATTATTAAAATTTGGGTTTGTAGCTCAATTTTCAATTCTTTTATCAAATTTAATAGATGCTAATATAAATGATTATTAATCTTATGTTAATGGGTATATAATATATAAAGATGTAATTTGTGATATCAATAACAAAGTACAGGCATGAGGAGTTGTAAAGGAGTAGAGTTTTTGTATGTGATTAAAATTAAGTTGGTTTGAGTTTAAAATATGTTGTTATAACTTTAGGATGTTAGATATACCATAATCTCCACAATAACTGTATATAGAATATAGAAGAAAGTGAGAAAGAAATCAAGGTCAGGAGCAGTGTCTCATGCCTGGACTCCCAGCACTTTGAGAAGTTGAGGGAAGAGGATTGCTTGAGTCTAGGAGTCCAAGACCAGCCTGGGCAACATAGTAAGACTTCATCTCTACAAAATGTAAGAAAACATGAGCTGTGTGTGGTGTCACACCTGTAGTCCAAGCTACTCAGGAGTCTAAGGTAGGGAGGGTTGCTTGGGCCCAGGAGGTCAAAGCTACAGTGAGCTCTGATCATGCCACTGTACCTCAGTCTGGGTGACAGAGGGAGAACCTATCTCAAAAAAAAAAAAAAATTACAAAACTCAGGTAAACACAAAGGCAGGTAGTAAAGGAAGAAATTAGGGTTATAAAAAGCTATAAGACATACAGGAAAAATGCCAAAATGGTAATAGTAAGTCCTTCTCTATAAGTAATTACTTTAAATGTAAATAGATTAAATTCTCCAAAGGATAGAAATTGGCAGAATTAATTTTAAAGAGACAAACAGGATCCAAGTAAATGCCGTGTAAATGAAATTCACTTTAGGATATACAAGTATAGGTTGAAAATTAGAAGATAGAAAGTTATTACACGCAAGTAGTAACCAGAAGAGAGCAAGATTGGCTATGTTAATACCAGACAAAATGTACGATGGTCAAAAACTGCTAAAAGACAAAAACATTAAACAATGATAAAAGGGGAAGTTCATTAAGATAGAATAATTCTAAACAAATGTACCAAACATCAGAGTTCTTAAATATATGAAGCAAACATTGACAGAATTGAAGGGAGTAATAGCTTTACAATTATAGTAGGAGATGTCAATATCTCACTTTTGATAATAGAACTATCATACAGAAGACCAGTAAGATAATAGAAAACTTGGACAACATGTAGGCCAATTGGACCTAACCAACATATACATTCTACCCAAAAGCAAGTTGTACGTTTTTCTCAGGTACACATAGAACTTTCTAATTCTCCAGAATAGACAGTAAGTTAGGCCACAAAATAAGTCTTCAATAAGTTTGAGACAAATCTCTTACATATAAGGTATCTTTTCCAATCACAAAGGAATAAAACTAGAAGAAGGAAGGAACATTGAATATCAGCATGCAGAAGAATTGAGTTTGGATACTTACACTATATGTAAGAATTAACCCAAAATGGCTCAAAGACCTAAACACAGAAACTAAAGTTGTAAAACATAGGGTAAAAGCTTCATAACACTGGATTAGGTAACGTTTTATTGGATATAACACCAAAAACACAGGCAACAAATATAAAGATAGATTGGACTGTATCAGAATTAAAAACTTGCGAGCACCAAAGGACTTAATCGTCAGAATAAAAAGGCAACTCATGGCATGGGAAGACATTTGAAAATCATATCTGATAAAGGGCTAATATGTAGAATATATAAAGAGCTCTTACATCTCAGTACCCTATTCAAAAATGGGCAAAGACTTGAATAAACATTTCCTTAAAGATTCATGAATGGCCAATAAGCACATGAAAAGATGCTCAACATCACTTATAATCTGGGAAATGCAAATCAATCACAATGAGATGCCATTTCATATCCTCTAGAATTACTACTATGAAAAAATGACAAATAGTAAGTGTTAAGTGTTAACAAGTGGTAAGAGTTTAGAAAAACTGGAACCATGTGCACTATTAGTAGGAATGTCAATGGTACAGCCACTATGAGAAACAGTATGGATATTCAAAAAATAGAAAGGTAATATGATCTAGCAATTCCACTCATGGGTATATGCCCAAAAGAATTAAAAGCATGGTCTTGAAGAGATATTTGTGTACCCATGGTCATGGCAACATATTCACAATAGCCAAAAGGTGGAAGCAACCCAAGTATTTGTTGATAGGTAAACAAATAAAAAAGTATGTATATAATATTATTCAGCCTTAAGAAAGTAGGAAATTGATACTTGCTACAATCTGAATGTATTTTGGAGATAAGTGAAATAAGACAGTCAGAAAAGGATAAAAAATTGTATGATTTTACTTATGAGGTAGAGTAGTTAAACTCAGAAAGTAGAATGGATGCTATGGGCTGGAGGGAGAGGGAACTGGCAGCTATAATTTAATAGGTACAGAGTTTCAGTCTTTCAATATGAAAAATGTTCCAGGGATGAATGGTGGCAATGGTAGAACAATGCAAATGTACTTAGTGTCACTGAACACTATACTTAAAATTTTCTTTTGAGAAGCATCTGTTCATGTCCTTTGCTCATATTTTTGACTAGATGTTTGTTGTTTAAGTTCCTTGTAGATTCTGGATATTAGACCTTTGTCAAATGCATAGTTTGAATATTTTCTCCTATTTTGTAGGCTGTTTACTCTGTTGGTAATTTCTTTTCTCTCTTTTTTTTTTTTTTTTTTTTTTTTTTTGAGATCGAGTCTCGCTCTGTCACCCAGGCTGGAGTGCAGTGGCGTGCTCTTGGCTTACTGTAACCTCTGCCTCCTGGGTTCAAGTGATTCTCCTGCCTCAGCCTCCTGAGTAGCTGGGATTACAGGTGTGTACCACCATGCCCAGCTAATTTTTGTATTTTTAGTAGACACAGGGTTTCACCATGTTGGTCAGGCTGGTCTCAAACTCCTGTCATTGTAATCTACCTGTCTTGGCCTCCCAAAGTGCTGGGATTAAAGGTGTGAGCCACTGTGCCTGGACGAATTTTTTTTTTTTTTTTTTTTTTTTTGCTGTGCAGAAGGTCTTTAATTAGGTCCCACTTGCCAATTTTTGTTTTGTTGCAATTGCTTTTGGGGACATAGTCATAAATTCTTTGCCAAAGCCTATGTTGAGAAGGGCATTTCCTAGGTTTTCTCCCAGGATTTATAGTTTGAGGTCTTGTGTTAAATCTCTGATCCATCTTAAGTTGATTTTTGTATACAGTGAGAGGTAGGGGTCCAGTTTCATTCTTTGTCATATGGCTAGCCAGTTTTCCCAGAACCATTTACCAAATAGGGAGTCCTTTCCTGCATTGTTTTTGATTTTGTCAAATACCAGGTGGCAGTAAGTATGTGGGTTTATTTCTAGGTTCTCTATTCTGGTCAACTGGTTTATGTGTCTTTTGTACAAGAACCATGCTGTTTTGATTACTGTAGTTTTATAGTATAGTGTGAAGTTGGGCAATGTGATGCCTCTGGCTTTGTTCTTTCTGCTTAGGATTGCTTTGGCTATTTGAGCTGTTTTTGAGTCCAGGGGAATTTTAGGATTGGTTTTTCTAATTCTCTGGAAACCGTCATTGATATTTTGATAGGGATTTTGTTGAATCTGTAAGTTGCTTTGGACAGCATGGCCATTTTAACTATTAATTCTTCTAATCTGTGAGCATGAAATATTTTTCCATTTATTTACGTCATCTGATTTTTTTCAGCAGTGTTTTGTAGTTCTCCTTGTAGAGATCTTTCACCAACTTGGTTAGATGAATGCCTAGGTATTTCATTTTCTTTGTGGCTATTGTAAATGAGATTGTGTTCTTGATTGTTTCTCAGCTAGAACGTTGTGTGTATAAATGTTGATTTTTGTATATCGATGTAGAAGACATAGAATCCAACAAACGTGTACAAAAGTGTTTAACATAACTAATCAGAGAAATGCAAATCAAAACCACAATGAGATACTATCTCACACTAGTCAGAATGGCGATTAAAAAAACACTGGCAAGGCTGCAGAGAAAAGGGAGTGCTTATAAACTGTTGGTAGGAATGAAAACTAGTTCAGCCACTGTGGAAAACAATTTGGATATTTCTTTTAAGAACTTAAAATAGAACTACCATTGGACCCAGCAATCCTGCTACTGGGCATATATCCAAAGGAAAATAATTCATTCTATCAAAAAGACACACACACCCGTATGTTCACTGCAGCACTGTTTACAATAGCAAAGACATGGAATCAAACTTAGTTGCCCATCACAGTGGATTGGATAAATAAAATGTGGTACATATACACATTGGAATACTATGCAGCCATAAAAAATGAAATCATGTCTTCTGCAGCAATATGGATGGAGCTGGAGGCCATTATCCTAAGTTGACCAAATGTAAGAACAGAAAATGAAATACTACATGTTCTCACTTATAAGTGGGAGCTAAACATTGAATACACATGAACATAAAGATGGGAACAATAGACACTGGGGACCACTAGTTGGGGAAGGCAAACGGGGTTTTGTGCTGAAGAACCACCTGTTGGGAACTATGCTTACTGCCTCGGTGATGGGATCATTAGAACCACAAGCCTCAGTGTCACACAATTTACTCATGTAACAAGTTGTCATGTGTACCCTTTAATCTATAACAGTTGAAACTTTAAAAACTTAACATTTTAACCACTTTTGCATTATATATATTTCACCACAATTAAAGTTTTAAAAGTTTAAAAATAAAAGCAGATTCAGGACATTTCATGAAGTAAAAGTTTTATGAAAAATGTTTATATATGTATTTGTCCTGTTTTAGCACATATAGAGTGGTAGTTAAGGAGTTTAAGGAAGGGACTCTTCAGAGAAATCTGCAGGATTAAATGAACTGCTAGGTATCATCCATTCATTCTTCCAAATCCACTTTCCACCTAGCTTTTGTCTGCCTTATATCCCAAAAATTGATCAGTAGGGATGACATCAGTCTATCTTCCAGCTCTGGGTAAGCTTGGCCAGTGGAAACTCTGTTCATGATTTTTACATGTTAAGTTATGTCACTGGCCTTTGTAATATTGATGTTTAAGCTCTTTATATAAGTAGATAGCCTAAGGAAGTAAATTCCTATGTGTGGAACTTCAGATATGATAGGGCAAAGGTGCTGTGGGAGAGGAATAGATTGCTCTGCAAGATCAGTACAATTTCTCCACAGGCACACAGACTTCCCTGCCCCCACCCTCTTCGCCCTCTTCCACCTCCCTCCAATCCACCCCAGCAGATCTACTTGGTATAAACTTGCATAGATCTTATGATATTTTTGTGATGGGATGGAAAAACTGGAAAGTGTACATATTTGGCTTGGAGTCCAGAGATCCCGTTTTGATTTGTCTTCTAACTAGGTAACCTTGGGAGAGCTATTATGTCTCTTGTAAGTGGCTGAAAATGCCTACTTACATAGGTTATGGGGAAGCTTTCACAGTATGTGAAAGAATCCAGCAGTGTCTAGTTAAGAAGAAGCATAATAGATGCTAAAGGTGGAAGGAGGACAAAGGGAATCATCTACAGCATTCTCATTCCTCAAGAACCAAGGAAATATATTTCACTTCCTCCAAAAGACTTCTCCAGAATCTCCTTTTGACTTAGATGCAAGAGATAATTCCAAGCTAAGCATAATCAAATGCTGCTCTTGCTAATGTAATACTAATTTTATTCTATGAATAGCATTTTTCAGTTTTTGTAAACATTTCCATGCTGTTAGCACCCTTGACCCTTCCGTTTGCCCTTTATGCCTCATTACAACAGTCATTGTTTATTTCAGGGTCTCCTTCTCCTCATTTTAACTGTAGTAGCCTCCTCACTCTGTCTTCCTGTCTCTAGCTCAGCTTGACTAGCTTCACAACTCCTCCACAGTCTCTAGAAGGAATTGTAACTTCCTATCATGGGAACCCAAGGTCTGTCACAAAAACCTTTTTTTCATTTGCTGAAACCCTTGTATCTGTTATAACTGCTGGAGAATATGACCTTTGCCTTGTTTCTGCCTTCCAACTCTCACATGAGTGCGTCTAATTGATGCAAAACTCTGGGGGCAAGGGAATTTGGGAAGTGTAGTTCCTAGGCTTTCAATCCCTATGATAAAGGGGAAGGCAGAGAGAAGAAGATAGAAATGTGTGCTTGAATGCAACCAAAGCCCCATATTACCTGGCTGCCCCTTCCTGATGACTGGGCCCCAACATCTTCAGCCTCTCCTCTCACTCATTATTTGCTCTAGTCTCACTGAACATCTGGCTCTTTCCTGGGATGTATCCTAGCTTGTGCTTTTTCATTGGTGACCCTTTCTTCCTGCAATTGGCCTAGCTCATGTTCACCCCTCCTTTAGGCATTAATTCATACCTCACCTTCTTATAGAAGCTGTCCTGATCACCCTGTCTGGTTGGGTGCACTTTGCCCATGCTTCCATGTCACCATATATTCACATCATGCCTTATACTCATCTGTTTACTTGTCTGAACTCCCCAGAGGCTGCAGCTTCTAGAAGTTAGGGATTATATTTCAGTCTTGGTATCTATAACACAATGTCTTTTATTTAGTGCTTATTTATCCACAGGAAAGAAAAGACATTCAGCAAATAATTATATCACACATACCCACAAGCCAGAAACCATAATTGTCTTATCCATATTTTTATACCCATAAATTATCTACTTCTAAGATTCACTAGGAGACAAGCAAGTAATGCTCAACCAAAAAGAGAAAAGGCTAGAGTTGGTGTGAGGATTGGGGGCAAATGTGCCACAGATAAGCATGAGAAGCTGCAAACAACCATGATGTAAAGTCTTCATTTATTTGAAGAAGATCATTGTGATACTTTCTGCCACCAATTATCTTTCCTCTTCCAATTAATGAGTGAAATGGTCATCTATGGAGCCAGGTTTGTACCCCATTCCACTTCAGTATAATCCTTCCTGCTTCTACCACCAGAAGCAGGGTGGTTATCAGAGACCTCAAACTTCTCTTCTGTATCCTTACAAGGAGAAATTCATCTACAAACTGCTTCCACCCCCAGCCATGAGCCAGGCCATTAAAGCACAGGACACAACTCCCCTGGGTTGACCAGCCCTTCAGGAAACCCCTGCCTCCTTGAGCCTGAAAGCCTTGGGATTTCTGGCCCTGTCAAGGTTAATTAGGGACTCCTGTACAAACGAAGCCTGCAGTCTATCAAATGTGCAGACGTATGTGGTTGGCAGTGAGTGGGGCTATGGCTTAGCAAGTACTGGAGTCTCATTATGGAGACACATGATCCTTGTGTGCTTTGCTAGGAGAAAACCAGACCCTATCTTTTTTCTCCCCTTTTCCCTGTGTTTCCAATTGGTCTGCAGCCCTGAGATTGCTCATAGGGAGAGAAAGGTGAAAGTACATAAAAATTTGATTTTCTTAGATGCAGAATTGTATGTCCAGTTAATGTTTAAAACTTTTAAGGCTTTGGTCTCAGAGACCTAGGCTGGGAGCAGGAGACATTTATTCAGGTCTTTACACATAAACATGTTTCAGCTCATTCCCCTGCTCTGTGAAGAACACAAGTTGGTTCTTAACCTTTTCTCTCATCGCAGATCCCTTTGGAAATCTAAAGAAGCCATGGATCCTCAGGAAGTGAATAAGTGCAACTTATGTCTTAGCCACATTAAAACTTCGTTTTTATCTCACTATTCCTTTACAGTATAAATCACTGGGGACATTTTCCCCCTGTACATAGATGTAAATCCTAACAGATTCTATTTCCCAGGATGTAAGTCCTAACAGATTCCTTCACACCTGAATATTATGCCTGTAGTCACTTTATGTTAAAGCATAGGTTTCATTTAGAAGTCAGAATATCCAAGATATTAACCTTAACTCCAAACTTTATTTATAGTGTGTTCTTTCTCAGTTTGGGCCTGCTTGTTTGGAAGGCTCAAAAAGGGAAGGAGGGAAGTAAGGTGATAGGAAAGTTCTTACTGGAGCTGGCCTTATGTTCTAGTTGTGGAAGATGTTTGGAGTAGACTCCTTTCCTTGTCCTTGGAGCTTTGGAGCTTCTTGCTGGGCACCACCTGAGTCTACAGTATTTGTGATGTGGGCCAGGAACATTCTCTTTACATGGCTTCTGGGAGCCTCTTAAGGTCTAGATTTTAGATCCTTGCTCTCAAATTTTCTAGACCTGTGGCAGAAGCTCTTGGGCAGGTGATATGGTTTGGCTGTGTCCCCACCCAAATCTCACTTTGAATGGTAATAATGCCCACACATCAAGGCAGGGCCAGGTGGAGATAATTGAATCATGGGGGTTGTTTCTCCCATACTGTTCTCATGGTAGTGAATAAGCCTCATGAGATCTGATGGTTTTGTAAGTGGGAGTTGCCTTGCACAAACTCTTGCCTGCCACCATGTAAGATGAGCCTTTGCTTCTCCTTTGCCTTCCACCGTGATCGTGAGGCCTTCCCAGCTATGTGGAACTGTGAGTCTATTAAACCTCTTTCCTTTATGAATTACCCAGCCTTGGGTGTGTCTTTGTTAGCAGCGTGAGAACAGACTAATACAGCAGGTTTCATACCACCTTTGAGCATCAGTCTCCCTCCTACTTCTGGCCCCAGGAAACTCTTCCATATCTCTAGTCTCAACAGAGTCTGGGGGGTGCAGATTGACCTTAGAGTAGTCTCTGTCCCTGTACCACAGGTAGCTTCAGCTTTCCCAAGAGCAAGCCCTGCATTAGTCTTATGTCTCCCCACATCTTTCAATGGTACGATGGAAGCTTCCTTGACATTAGGCTGAAAGTGAAGCAATTAGCATCCCCCACAACCCTCCCCTGACTCTTTTGGATGGAGGTAGAATCTCCAAGACAGTAACTGCTCTCTTCGTACATCCTTTGTTTTCTCTACATTCTTATCCTTTCTTATTCTCTTGATCTGCCCTGGATCCCAAGAGTCCTGGATCTGGTTCTCTGAGTTTCTTTTGGTATCTGTTATCTGAAACGTGGGATTACAAAGGACATGAAAGATAGACTATCACATTGGTGTTTCAATAAAAATAAAAGAGTCCCAACATCCTAAACAATATATACATACTTTTCACATGGTTTCAGGGATTTAAGCCAATGAATAGAAGCCAGGGCAAGAGTGCTTAGGTTAGACTCATTGATTCAGTTTTTATTAAGTTCCGGCTACATCCTATATCTTATATTAATTGGACATCAACTAATCCAATAGGGATACAGGGAGTAAATATGTTTGGGCCCTTACCTTTTAAAATATGTAAACCAGTTATCAGAGTATTCTGTGATAAATGCTATAACGGAATAGGGAGGTGTGGGGGAAAGCATTGGTGTCAATTAAGGAAATAAAGAAAAGTCTCAGAAGAGATGATACTTTAAAGGAGACTCAAGGTAGAAAAAATGGGGTAGAGGTGGTTGAGGGCACCCCAAAGGAAAGGATCACCACACATAAAAGTGGATAATTGTAACAGGATAGAGAAAGCAGTGTTCCCAGGGGCACCTGATGGAAGATGAGTTTAGAAAAGGTAGCAGGGGTGTGGGGCCTTGATTGCCTCACTCAGGAGGTCCTCTAAACATTCTTCCAAGTCTCCAAGTCTCCATGTTGCTCATCAGGATTAACTCCAGATGAGTGAAATAGGCAGGAAGCCATGGTGGAGCATCTTTAGTAATTGAGGCATGAGATTTTGACAGCCTGGATGAAGGTTGGGGAGCAATGGTGGAAGAGGTAGAATTAGTAAAACTTGAATGTAGCAGAAGGGAGAGGAAAAGTCTAATATGACTAAGGTTCATGGCTTAGGAAATAGAGTGGCTATTTTCAGAGGGAAAAAGAACACAGGTGGAAGCAGTGCAAGATGGTGAAATAGAAAGTTCTGGCCGGGCACGGTGGCTCACACCTGTAATCCCAGCATTTTGGGAGGCCGAGGTGGGCAGATCATGAGGTTAGGAGATCGAGACCATCCTGGCTAACACGATGAAACCCCATCTCTACTAAAAATACAAAAAATTAGGCGAGCGTGGTGGCAGGTGCCTGTAGTCCCAGCTACTCAGGAGTCTGAGGCAGGAGAATGGCATGAACCTGGGAGGCAGAGCTTGCAGTGAGCAGAGAGCACACCACTGCACTGCAGCCTGGGTGACTGAGTGAGACTCCATCTCAAAACAAAACAAAACAAAACAAAAAAATAAATAAAAAGAAAGTTTCACCAAACATCCCCTGCCCCACAAGGACACCAAGTTAACAGCTCTCTACACAGAAAAAGACATCTTTATAAAGAACCAAGGGTCAGCTGAGCCCTCTGAGTACCTGGTTTTATTTCATATTGCTGAAAGAGGCACTGAAGAGTTGGAGAAACAGTCCTAAATCACCATCACCACCTCTCCCCTAGCCCCAGCAACACCTATGTGGATTGTCAGTGCTGAGGGAGGGAGAACACAGCAAAATAAATTGCTGAGGGAGGGAGAACACAGTAATTGTGAGGCAATGAACTCAGTGATGTTCTGTTAGAGCAGAAAGGAAACCTGGACAAAACTCAGCTGATCCACACCCATGAAGGAAGCATTTAAACCACCCCTAGCCAGAGGAGAATCCCCGATCCCAGCAGTCTGAACTTGAATTCCCACAAACCTTACCACCAAGGTCCTAAGTGGTCTTGGTCTTCAAGTAATCTTGAAAGGCAGTCTAGGCCATAATGACTGCAACCTCTAGGCAAGTCCTAGAGCTGAACTAGGTCCAGAGACAGTGTTCTCGGGGGTACACTACCTACTGAGACACCAGCTGGGGCAGTAGAGGGAGTGCTAGCATCACCCCTTCCCTAATCCCAGGCTGTACAGCTCACAGCTCCAAAAGAGACCCCCTTCCTTCCACTTGAGAAGGAAGAATGGGAAGGACTTTATCTTGTACTTTGGATACCAGCTCAGCCATAGAAGGATGATAGGGCACCAGAGTCAAGAGGCCCCTTTTCTAGGCCTTAGCCCCCCAGACAACATTTCTAGAGACACACCCTGGGCCAGAAGAGAACCAGCTGCCTTGAAGGAAAGAACAGTCCTGCCAGCATTAATCACCAGCTAAAGTGCTGAAGGAAAAACCTTTTACCCTAGAGTAGTACATCCGCAAAAATATTCTTCAAACATGGAGAAATAAAGACTTTCCCAGACTAATAAAACCCAAGGTATTTCATCATCCTATACCAGACCCATCCTATAAGAAATGCTAAAGGGAGGCCGGGCGTGGTGGCTCATGCCTGTAATCCCAGCACTTTGGGAGGCCGAGGCGGGCGGATCACGAGGTCAGGAGATCGAGACCATCCCAGCTAAAAACGGTGAAACCCCATCTCTACTAAAAATACAAAAAATTAGCCGGGCGTATTGGCGGGTGCCTGTAGTCCCAGCTACTTGGGAGGCTGAGGCAGGAGAATGGCGTGAACCCGGGAGGCGGAGCTTGCAGTGAGCTGAGATCCCGCCACTGCACTCCAGCCTGGGCGACAGAGCGAGACTCCGTCTCAAAAAAAAAAAAAAAAAAAAAAAGAAATGCTAAAGGGAGTACTTCAGTCAGAAAGAAAAAGACATTAATGAACAATAAATAATCACCTGAAGGTATAAAACTTACTGGTAATAGTAAGTACACAGAAAAACACTATATTATAAACACTAACTGTGTATAAACTACTCTTATCCTAAGTAGAAAGACTAATGAATTGATCAAAAATAATAATGACAACAACTTCAAGAAACAGTACAATAAGTACAAACAAAAACAAAAAGTTCAAAAGTGAGGGGCAAACTTAAGATGCATTTTTAGTTCTCTTTTTGCTTGCATGTTTATGCCAGCCTTGTGGCGACCTCAAACCAAAAAACATGCAACAGATACACAAAAAAAAATAAGGAAGAAACTAAATTATATCAGAGAAAATCATCTTCACTAGAGGGAGACAGGAAGGAAAGAAATACCATAGAACAACCAGAAAATAACAAAATGACAGGAGTCTTTATCAATAATGACATTGAATGTAAGTGAACTAAACTCTCCAGTCAAGAGACAGACTGGCTAAATGGATGAAAAAAGAAGACTCATTGATCTGTTGCCTACAAGAAACCCACTTCACCTATAAAGACACACATAGCTTGAAATTAAAAAGATAGAAAATATCTCATGCCGACAAAAACAAAAATAAAACCAGGAGTCACTATCCTTACATCAGACAAAATAGATTTCAAGACAAATACTATAGGAGACAAAGAAGGTCACTATATAATGATAAAGGGGTCAATTCAGCAAAAGGATGTAACAATTTTAAATATATATGCACTCAAAATAATGGGAGTACCTAGATATATAAGGGAAATATTAGAGCTAGAAAGATAGACCTTAATAGAGTAATAGCTGGGAGACTTCAACACCGTACTTTCAGCATTAGACAGATATTCCAGACAGAAAATCAGAGACTTAATCTGCATTATAGACCAAATGGATCTGATATTTACAAAACATTTCATCCAAGAGCTGCAAAGTACACATTCATTTCCTCAGCACACAGATCATTCTCAAGGATAGACCATATGTTAGGTCACAAAACAAGTCTCAAAACATTCAGAAAATTGAAATAATATCAAGCATCTTATCTGACCACAATGAAATAAAACTGAAAACAAGAGGAATTTGGGAAACTATACAAATACATAGAAATTAAACAATGTTTCTCATGAAAAGTGGGTCAATGAAGAAGTTAAAGAAACTGAAAACCTTCCTAAAACAAGTGATAATGGAAACAACATGCCAAAACCTGTGGGATACAGCAAAAGCAGTAATCAGAGGGAAGTTTATAGCTATAAGTCCCTACATCTAAAAGAGGAAAAACTTTAAATGTTACATCCTGAACGAGAAAAGCGAGAGCAAACCAAACCCAAAATTAGAAGAAACAAAGACTAGAGCAGAAATAAGTGAAAAAAATACAAAAGATCAATGAAATAAAAAGTTGGTTTTCTGAAAAGTTAAATAAAAACAAACCTTTGGCCAGACTAAGAAAAAAAGAAGATCTAAATAAATAAAATCAGAAATGAAAAAGGAGACATTACAACTCATACTACAGAAATTCAAAGGATCATTAGTGGCTGCCATGAGCAACTATCTGCCAATAAATTGGAAAATCTGAAGAAGTTGATGAATTCCTAGATATGTATGACCTACCAAGATTGAACCAGGAAGAAATTCAAAACCTGAACAGACTAATAACAAGTAACGAGATCAAAGCTGCAATAAAACATCTTCCAGTAAAGAAAAGCCCAGGACCTGATGGCTTATTGCTGAATTCTACCAAACATTTAAAGAATAACTAATATCAATTCTACTCAAACATATTCCAAGAAATAGAGGAGGGGAGAATACTTCCAAACTCATTCTATGAGGCTAGTGGTGCCAAAACCAGAGAAATACACATCAACAGAAGAAAACTACAGGCTAATAACTGTTGAATATTGATGCAAAAATCCTAAGAATATATATTAGCAAACAATTTCAACAATACATTAGAAAGACCATTCATCATGACCATGTGAGATTTATCTCTGGGATGTAAGATGGTTCAAGATATGCAAAAATAAATAAAATATATATCAACAGAAAGAATGATAAAAACCATACAACCATTCCAGTTGATGCTGAAAAAGCATTTGATAAGATTTAACAGCCCTTCATAATAAAAACCCCAAAGAAACTGGGTATAGAAGGAACCTACCTCAACATAATAAAAGTCATATGACAGACCCACAGCTAGTATCCTACTGAATGGGAAGAACTGAAAGCCTTTTCTCTAAAATCTGGAACACAACAAGGATGTCCACCGTCACCACTGTTATTCAACATATTCCTAGAAGTCCTAGCTAGAGCAATCAGACAAGAGAAAGACATAAAGGACATCGAAATTGGAAAGGAAGAAGTCAAATTATCCTTGTTTGCTGATGAAAAACCTAAAGACTTCACAAGAAAACTATTATGACTGATAAATCTAGTAAAGTTGCAAGATGTAAAAACCCACATACAAAAATCAGTAGCATTTTTATATGCCAACAGTGAACAATGTAAAAAAAATTTAAAAAGCAATTGCATTTATTATAGCTACTTATAAGATTAAATACCTGGAAATTATGTTAACCAAATAAGTGAAAAATCTCTATAATGAAAACTACGAAACACTGATGAAAATTTAAAGAGGACACAAAAAATGGCAAAATACTCTGTGCATGGATTTCAAGAATCAATAGTTAAAATGTCCATACTTCCCAAAGCAATCTACAGATTCAATTCAATCCCTATCAAAATACCAATGACATTCTTCATGAAAAAAGAAAAAAAATTCCTAAGATTTATGTGGAATCACAAAAGGCCCAGAATAGCCAAAGCTATCATAAGCAAAAAGGACAAAACTGGAGGAACCGCATTACTTGACTTCAAAATTATACCACAGAGTTTAGTAAACAAAACAGCATGGTAGTGGCATAAAAACAGACACATAGACCAATGGATCGGAATAGAGAGCCCAGAAACAATTCTACACACCTATGGTAAACTCATTTTTGATAAAGGTGCCAAGAATATATCCTGGGGAAAAGACAGTCTCTTCGATAAATGGTGCTGGGAAAACTGGATATCCATATGCAAAATAATGGAACTAGACCCCTATCTCTCACCATATACAAAAATCAAATCAAAATGGGTTACATACTTAAATCTAAGACCTCAGACTATGAAACTCCTACAGACTATGAAAACACTGGGGAAAATCTCCAGGACACTGGTCAGGGCAAAGACTTCTTGAGCACTATCCCACAAAGCACAGACAACCAAGCAAACATGGACAAATGGGATCACATTAAGTTAAAAAGCTTCTGCATAGCAAATGATACAATCAAAGTAAAGAGACAACCCACAGAATGAGAAAATATAGTTGCAAACTACTACTCTGACAAGAGATTAATAACCAAGATATATAAGGAATTCAAACTCTAGAAAAAAAGCTAATCTGATCAGAAGATGGGCAAAAGATTTGAATTAGACATTTCTCAAAAGACAAATGTCAAACAGGCATAGAAAAAGGTGCTCAACATCATTGATTAGAGAAATTTAAATGAAAACCATAATGAGATGTCATCTCACCCCAGTTACAATGGCTTATATCCAAAAGAAAGGCAGTAACAAATGCTGGTGAGGATGTGTAGAAAAGGGAATCCTTGTATACTATTAGTGGAATGTAAGTTAGTACAACCACTATGGAAAGCAGTTTAGAGGCTCCTCAAAAAACTAAAAGTTTAACTATCATGTGATCTAGCAATCTTACTGCTGGTTATATACCCCAAAGGAGGGAAATCAGTATAGAGTATAGATAAGAGAAGCTATGAGCATTGGTCAGAGGAGCCATATCAAGAATTAGCTTCAAAGAGTAAACCCGTTGTAAGAATAGGAATTGAATTAAAGTGCTGGGGCTGACACATCAGCCTAAGGACCCTGACCAGACCAGCAACTATGGTTCCTATGCCTATCAAATCTCTCCAATAATCTTTATGTATGAGAAAAAAAAGACTTTCATTTGGTTTTTATGCATCACCTCTACTCCTGCCCACAAATAATTCATGGGGCATCCCTGTCAATTGTCTATCCTCCCTTACTTCCAATGGCAGAGGCACCTGCTTCTGGATTCTGCCCTTTGCTTTATAGATAGCTCTCTCTGACTGCTATGTTTTATTTCAATATTGAGTGTATCTGATGTTTATAAAATACTGCTCAGTGAATGGCAAAAATAAAGAAGCACTGTCTATGCTTTTTTATGTACACAAACATTAGGAAAAGTTAAATGTATGATTCTATAAAGTTTCAAGAGATTCTTTGATTACTCTTTGCTTATTGAAACTGTTGGTTTCAATAAAAAAAAATAAGCATTTTTTTCCAGTCTTTGGAAGAGGCTGTGACTCTGAGTCATTGCAGAGTTACTCTGTGAGAACCAAGCAGTTCATCATAATTTCAGGATATTGAAGACAAGTCAGAGATAAGAGTCAAAAAAGAGGTAAATGGACTGCAAATATTACCTAGGGGGCAAAGGGAGTGACCAAGGAGGTGAAACCAAGGCCAGTTGTCAAGGGTCAGTGGTTACAGGTCATATCCTAAGTCAGGAGGCATTGCATCATAGTTGAAAAATGAAACCTCAAGGCAGTAAGGACTTGGCTGATATTAGGGTCACCAGATGCCAAGGTGGCTAAGAGTTGTAACAAAAGTTAACAAGTTATGGACAAAAGTTAACTTAAGAATGTTAATTGTGGAGCACTTTAGAATAGTGTCAAGAGTAAGACTTGAGTATCTGACGAATTTCTCCCAAGCACCAGAATCACACATACAGCCACAGACTCAATATCTCCACTTTATTGTCTCCCACCTCGTACATGGCCAAACCCAGGGCCATAGGCATAAGCTAAGGGAAACATGCTGCTGCATAAGTGGTGGGTCTGAGCTACCTGTTTATTAGCTTGTTTGAGACTTCCAGTTCCGCCCATGTTTGATCTTTAATGTACCATTTCAATCTTTTGATGGAGTGTTGCTGGGCCCATCTGACCTTATGACTTGGTGGGTCTGGCAGGATTCAGCTCATGATGGGGAGTGTGGGGGTATTATAACATTCAATTTGGTGGTGGTAGTTGAGAGCAGTTTGAAGGACTAACTGGTGATAGTACAAAAATACCCAGTCTCTCTTCTGTTTCTACTTCTATCAAAGAAAACATTTTTCAAGCTATGAAATAGTTATGAGGGCATAAACAAAGTTAGGGAAAAGATCAACTAAATTATAAACTATAAAGTTATCTCTACTTTTTCTAGGCTCAGAAGAGCACATCTGAAAGTAATTTTTCAGAACTTGTAGGTTTGACATAAGGATACTTCTGTTAATCAGAGAAAGAATAGGTTGCAAGAGTTGAAAATATGCAACTTTTGTAAAAGGATAAGGTAGAGTTTTGAAAGTTATAGGTCAGTGAGCTTAATGTCAACTCCTAGTAAATTTTAGAAAAGATTACTAAGCATGTGGAGAAGTAATAAAGAAGAAAGAACTATCTATGAGGAACTACTATGTTAAATACCTTACTACATGAATTCCTTTTAAAAAGGAAGTTTTAAATTGGTAAAATAAAAAGTTGTACAGTTATCCATTAGAGATGATATGGCATTGCTCAAAAAAGCTAACATAGGCCTGGGGATAACAGTGAATGTACATTGTCCATTTCAGGGGCCCGTGTTGTGATTGTCATCCTAGGACTTACCATAAATTCCACACACATTTTTCCCCAGTGGAAACTTCTATCATAGGGTTTGCCAGATCATATGGCCCAAGCAACAGGGCTGATTGCGTCATGGCCTGGACAAGCATCTGTTTGTTTTTGGTTTTTTTTTTCCTGCTCTGGGTCTGGTCAAGGCTGTCAGGCTTTCGCATCACCTGGGACATAAGCCAGAGCAGCTTCCCTGTGTGTGGGATCAGCTTCCTCCAGAACCTGAGGCCCATCAGGCATTGTGCTTCCTCCTTTGTGGCAGGAGATATAAGTGGCAGTGATTTGTTTTTTTTACTTTAGGGGAAATTTGAGAATACCTTTGACCATTGGACCTCTAAATATTTTATGGATATGGCAAACCTTTTAATATTCTGGAGTATATGTGTCTTACCAAGGCTGCCAGTATGCGGGCTAACTTACTCATCTGGATCAATCAACAGAAGTTCATTGATGTAATAGATCATTGTAATGTTCTACAGGGTATCCAGATGGTCCAGATAACTTTAAACTTATGAGATAAGGCAGAAAAGTTAACTTAGGCCTGGGGATAACAGTGAATGTATATTGCTCATTCCATCTGGCTAACAGGACAGCCGCCATTGCATGTTTTAGTGATACTAGTGTTCTACTCACTGGCACATTTTCTACTGCCTTCATAAAATTGCCCTCAGCATCTTCCTATGGGACACATCTGTTGGGTCTTCCAGTCATACATTATATACCCTTCAGCAAGTCTGTTTCTAAGCTTTTTAATACCTTCTTTTGCCACTTAAGCACAGCATTTTTTTTTTTGCATTTAAGCTTCGCTGAGTATGAGCTACAACGTCCATGCTTCTAGAAGCCATCATAATAGCAGATTCATACCATTTCCTGAGATCCTTGGCAGGCTGTTAAGTCCTGCCATTGTAGGAGATTGTGCCCAAATAAACTTTTCTTTATTTGCCCTCTTTGATCAACCATGTCAGAAGTCAGTTCTCCGTGTATTCTATCCTTTTCTGGTAACATATTGGCTAGGAGAAGGCTTCCTATCCATGTTTCCAGATATGACTAGGCTTAGTTACAGCATAATCTAAGCTTGGTCACCAGGAGGATAGAAGAGGTGCAGTTAGGTCACAAAATCTCTGCAATTCTTACAGCACTTTATTTGGCAAAGGGATGGGTGCTAATTCTTAGTAAACAAGGGAAGGCCTCATATGCAAGCACAGAAGATTCACATAGGTTAGGGGACCAAAATCTTCAGAGGTATCAACCCAAATGCATCTATATTCCATGTATTATGTTCAAGATTATAAATATCAAATGGGATCATAAATACGATGGGGAAAAATAAGGGGCACCTGGGACAGTTGCCACAATGATAAACATTTCTGCAGTCTCCTTATTTGTTGTGGGTATGTGTGTTTGTAAAATGATATTGGTCAGAGAAGATCAGGCCACTGAGCAAATAGATCAGGCCACTGAGCAAATAGATCAGGCCAGTGAGCAAAATAGTCACTGTTCTAGAATCAAAGCATTATCCCCCTTTTTCCCCATGCTGCTCCTGAACTTCCAGGCACTGGACTCTGTCTGCCTAGATCTATAGCCCACTTCTCCCTGCCTTACATAGCAATCATCCAGGGGCTTGTCTCTCAGGTTGACTGCAAGACTGCTCCCAGTCCTGATCCCTGTTGGCTAGCTCTGTCTAGATGCTTTCACATCAGGGTGACAGATGTACAGATTAACCTATGCTATTGCTACCACTGCTGGTAAGGAGTGTCTGCAGAAGAGACTTTGACTTAGTGCAGCTAATCAGGTCTCATCACCACCACTGACTACCCAGGTGTTCTCATGGAAGTTATCAAACCTCTTATAACACCTCAGTTAAACAGGAATACAATCCCCACAAACAGTAAATGTATTCAACACAAGAATAGGTGAAATTATATTTCTATGACGTGTAGATTCTATGTACTGCTCAATGTCACAATAGATGACACACATTGATTAGGATGAGTTTGACAGTTTTTCCAGTTGGCTATATTAGAGATGTAGCAGTAAAGGAACCATAAGGCATAGTCCAACTTGGGGCTTGGGCCAGCTGAAGAATGAGGGAATGGCAGTGGTTCCTGGAAGCTTCAAGGAGAGATTGTAGAGAAGGAGTTAGATTAAGTACACGGAACGTCACTCCCCCTTTTCTCCTGTCTGGTCCCCCATTGGCTGAACTCAGCCAGATGTCAAAGAGCAGGGGAACACACTGATGTAGTTCATATAAGCCAGTCTCTCGGGCAGAGAGCAAAACAGGAAGGCTGGGGAGTGGATCCGAAAGGGCAAACAGAAGCTGCTTTGCACAGTTGCAGCTTGGGTAGAAGAAAATGGCAACTGTATGTTAGAATTAATTCAACTAAAACTCTGGTTGCTAATAGATGTGTCAACCATTTAACAGTCCAAAATAAGAACAGAGAATATTTTCTAAAGATTTAGTATCCCCTAAACATTGGGCATTATGTTAAATGGAAACTCCTATTAGGTCACCAATCTCTCAACAGCTTTTATGTTATAGGTATTAGCCTTTCTCATTCTCACTTGAGAGACTCAGTGGCTTGTCCAGGTCATGTAGCTAAACAGTAAGCCAACTCAGACCCAGATTCTGTCTGACTCCACAACCTATGCTCTCTCCATTATAACACGAAACCTCATTAAGATGTAAATACATACAAAACTGGCCCTTTAAAAGATAAACAGCCCTATTGGGCAAGCTTGTTTGGAATTGGGAAGGTTAACAGAGGTAACTTCAACATGTGGGAAACAAGCTGATGAGAAAGGAAATCCTGTTCTTGTCTTGGCCCTATAAAGAAAACACTGAGCAAAATGCTGACACAGCTAACCTCCCAGAAAACCCCACAGACTGACTTCTGCCTAACAGAGCCTGGATTCATGTGGTCAAGTGCAGTTTGTAGTGGGTTATGTGGTTGTTTCCCTAGGTCACATGAAACTGAACCACATGAAGTCACCAACACCCTATTCTCTTCTGTACTGACAATTTTCCCTTTGATTCACCTTCCTAAATTTCCACTTATGTTATAGGTTACCAGCCACACAAGCAGGCTCACAGTAAAAACTATACGATAGCCAAGGGCAAAATGAGAAAGATACATTTTTGTTGAGTATAGTTTGTCAGGAAATACGCTGGGCACTTTTTACATTAAACAAACACTCAACTCTTTCTACGTACAACCACTTCAATCTTTAAGCTCTGTTGGCTTCATTTTACATAAGATGTAACTCAGAGGTTTAAGTGATTTGCTTAAAGTCACACACAGGGCCTAAAAAAATGTGTGGATAGAATTTTTACCCAGTTCTTCTAGAAACTTTAGACCTCTAGCCTGAGGTTAAAGATTCTGTGCTAACACTTTGCTGGGGAATAAAATTCCAAGGAAACAGGAGTTGGAGGCAAGGGAAGAGACAAGGAAAAAGGAATGGGGGAAGGGGAGAGGAGATCATTGTAACCATGCATTCTGGGTTACCACAGCTTGGCAACAAGCCAATTACCTAGTCTTGCTGGGCACCTTTAGAGAAACCCTATGAAGCTGCTATGTCTCCAGACTGTCTCTTCAAGAATTTGTTCACCACCTCACACTGGACAGATATGGCTCCACTGGACACTTCTAGGTTGTTCAACTGAGGAAGTTAGTTCATCTGAACTGTGATATGAAAACCCCAGGGCAGAAGGCAAGGGGCGGTGGTATGGGCCTCAGGTAGGCACTGACAAGGCACACCCTTGAGGGACCCAAGGGATTAGGAGCAATCGACTCTGCTCCTAGTAGTGTCTGCAAGCACCTGTTAATAGCAACACTGGAAGCTGCAGAGATGGGGGTCCAAGATCATGCCAATAATGCCAGCCCTCTCTAGAGCTGAGCTAGTCAGAAAGCTGGGTGAGGGCAGACCCTGTAGGGGCCATAATCTAAATCTCCCACAATTGAGGGACACAGATCTGTTTTTCCTTCTTACCCTTGAATGATTCCCAAAATGTTTTAACCAAAAAGTCAATATGGAAAGGACGAGTTGATTGGAACATTATAAACATCATTTAGGTTCTGAAGGTCAGGTGCCATTTCTTAATACCCAATGTTTTCCTTGGGAAAATTTCAAAACTATGAAAGCTAATTATTCTCATTGTAGAAACTCTAGAGAATGTTTGGAAGATATATAAAAGTATTAGGAAGAAACAAATCACTTGTATAATACTTAGAAATAGCCATTGATAGTATTATATACATGTCCACATAAAGGAAGGCATCCTATAAATGTTAAGCAAAAAAGGAATTAAAATTGCATATGAACAGTGTATCATCTCATTTTAAGGTATTTTTTATTGTGGCAAAATGTGTGTAAATTTCCCTTTTAACTATGAAGAGCACAATTTGGTAGCAGTAACACCCCTTCAACTATTACCTATCCCCATTGTGTGGGGCACAGGTGGGAGTCCAACAGCATATCTCTGGGAAATTCCATGCCTATGATAGCTGCAAAAAGGCTAAGTTCAGCAACCAAAGCCTTATAAGAATAAAGTGATGAGGGCTCAGGGATGCAGAGCCAGCAGCTAGGAGTCTGCTGAGGTGTACTACAAGGTTCAAGAATTGTGGAAGGGACATAGCATCTGCTGTGCTTCTGTGGTATCCCCAAAGAATAAACCACAGATCAGAGGTCCATAAGGCTCCAGGTTTAGTGCCTACCATGGGAAGAAAGGTCTTTTCCTGTAACATAGTCATCTGCCCCCATGATAAAGCCCACAGCCCCCAGATTCCCTTCTGAAATAGCCCTAGGTCTTTAGATAAAGAGAATCTGGATTGCTCTACTAAGTAAGAACCCCAGGCCTCCCCAGGCACAAGCTGAACAGGAGGGAAACAAGGATGGGTAGAGTGGAGGGAGGTGTTGACTGTCAGTTACAACCTGGGGACTACCTGTAATAGAGGAGACTGGATCTTGATTAATCCACCTGTACTAAGTCTTGTGGTGATTGCAGTGAGTAACCTCAAAGGCTGAAATGGAGTAGAAATAGTGATGGGCATGACTGGTAGAAAGGACGGACGGTATTAGATGTTTCTTGCTCTGCCTCCTGTCTTCTTGGCTTTCCTTTCATTTCACCCATTAACTCTCAACACCTCCTGTTTCCTGCTTTCTGCCCTAGGTCTTCCCTGGCACCTCAGAGTTAGGTCGATGGGTACTCACTCAATGCTCATGCTTAGGCTGACCTGGACATAGAGAGGGGTGATACCCATGAGTAACTCTTCACCAATGAGGAATGGAGTCAGTGGTTATATCCTCCCTTGCCCCCCAGTTCCACCTACTAAGTGGATAATTCTGAGGCACATTCTATACAGCTCCTCAGAGGCCCAGTGGGATTGAGCCCTGGCTGTTCAGTGATGAAATGGATGGTGCATCCTTGCATTGGCTTTCCTCTTTTTCTGTCTTACTGTTTCTATCTCCACAACTCCTCTCTTTCTTGAAATAACTTTCCCAAATAAATTGCATGCTAGCAAGCCCTTATCTGAGTCTGTGCTTTCTAGGAGAACTCAGGCTAAGATAAGTAGTATGTATCCAACTCTGAATATCATAAGCCTTTCTGTATCAGTATAAAGTACATAAACATTTCTAATGGCTGTAACATAAGGCAGACTCTCAAGCCACACTGCCTGTCAGATGACTTCTTAAGTAACCTTGGACAAATCATTTAACTTTTTAATGTCAGTCTTTTTTTTTTTTGAGATGGAGTTTCACTCTTGCTGCCCAGGCTGGAGTGCAATGGCGCTATCTCAGCTCACTGCAACCTCCGCCTCCCAGGTACAAGTGATTCTCTTGTCTCAGCCTTCCAAGTAGCTCTGATTACAGGCATGCGTCATCACTCCCAGTTAATTTTTTTGTATTTAGTGGAGATGGGGATTCACCATGTTAGTCAGGCTGGTCATGAACTCCTGACCTCAGGTGATCCACCCGCCTCGGCCTCCCAAATGCTGGGATTATAGGCATGAGCCACCGCTCCCAGCTGGTGTCAGTTTTCTTACATATAAAATGGATCATAGTAATAATCCTCATGCAGTTTGAGAGAATGTTAATTCAGATTAAGTGCTTTAATCTTTGCCTGGCACAGAATTGCTAACACTTACATTGTGTTTTCTATTATTTTTATTATAGCAAATTGGCTAAATACAGTTTTTCTACTCTTTCCACAATTTTTTCACAGTGAAGCAAAGCACTGGGTGAACCATATTGGCATGAATTTGGTCTGCCAATAATGTTCGCTGAGTGAACAAATCATATCTGAAATGCAGACATGATTTACACAGTATTTCCTTAGGATAGATTTCTAGAAGTAGGATTTCTGGGTCCAAATACCTCACGACTGTTGTTACTGTAAGCACTTAACACCCTTTCTTGTAATGGCCTATTTTTGTCTGTGATCCATAAGATGAAAGTTCTTCAGGTAGGAGCCAGGCCTTTTTGTTCTTCATTGAATGCTTAGTACTTGACAAATTAAGGACCCCTTCTTTGTGCCAGACCTAATATTAAATGAATAAACACACAGAAGGTATTATATATATATATTTCTAAAGAGTTTTCAAAAATAGATGGCATATCTTTAATATATTTTTAGTAAGCTTGTAAAGTATAATAAAAATCTAAGTAGATTGATGAAGACATGTGGGACATTTAGTTAGAAACTCATACAAGACAGACATAGGATCTGAGTTTCCAAGAGCTGACACTCAGAATGTATTACTGTAATATAAACTTACTCATCTACCCCATTTAAAAACGTAAACAGGTTTCATTTTGCAACTGTGTCAATACCATGGGGCAGAAATGGATCCCATAAGAAAACAAACATTTGGCCTTCATAATTAAAAGTCAATATTAGACGAAGACCCCAAGTAGGCCAGGCAATCACCTGCCTCCTCTTAGGCTCATGCCTTGAGGATTCCTCCCTTATATACTGTGGGAGAAACAGCTGCTTTGCTAAGGCTCACCTGGTTAGAATTTTTCATGGAGCGTGACTTTGAGAAAAAAGCCCAGTCAAGCAAAACTGTGCAAATTAATTTGGGTTTATGTTACCAAGTGTGTATTCTGACTGGTTGTCTGCAAAGGGGTCTGAGAGAAAATTGAAACATTAAGTGTCATATAAACAGAAAAAGTGACCACTTTGGAAGCAATAAAATTAGTACCTTCTGGCAAATTAAACTCAGAGTTACAAAAGGATATTAAGTATAAACACAATGGATTGAATCAGACACAATATAAACGGCTACTAATTTGGAGATTGGTAGGATTTTAAAAACATCTAAGTTATTACTGAGCATTTGTATCCTATCATGATAGGTACTAGAGACATGGGGATAATGATTCATTCTCTTCTATCAGGATTATATAGTTACAATATAATGCATATAAAACAAAGTGCAATGGGAACACACACCAAAGCAATTCGTTTTGCTTGTCATGAGTGGGGAGTGGTTATGGAAACCTTTTATTTCCAGGTATAATGCAGACACAACGAGTCATCCTGCTCTTTGAGAGTCAACATTTTTTAGCTTAAGATGAGAAACTCACTGCCTTTCTAAACTTGAGATCTTGAATGGGAGGGTTTTGAAGAGGTTTATATTTTTTCTGGTTACAATGGCTATGGGTTCCTGATTCTAATGAATTAGACCATTTCATCAATGCCTGGCTCTCACACGTTTTCTTCACATTGCATCACTCCTACACTGAAAACCACCCCATGCTTCACTCTTCTAAATACCACTGACACCAGCTATCTAGCATCAGACTTTTCCTAAATGACTGGAAAATAGAAGGGTCTCAAATTTTAGTGTCAAATCAAGTTTAGCCTAAAGCTTCCTCCTTGCATATTTTAATTTCAGCCTGAATGTTTCTCTGCACATCATGAACTGTAACCTAAATAGTTGTAAATAGACTGTAGCCTACTTTTGTGCCAGTCACCAAGTTTTGGCCATTCTAAAAGGTGGCCAACTGTTCAAACCTTGTTCAAATAAGGCAAATGCTGAGCTATAACCAATCCAGCCATTTCTGTAAGTCACTTTCCTTTTTCTGAACCATAAATAATCTTCCACCACAGGGCTGTACTGGGATCTCTGAGCCTACTCTGGCTCAGAAGGCTGCCCAACTCACAAATTGTTCTTTGTTCAATTAAACTCCTAATTCGGCTAAAGTTTTTAACAGTAGCAATCACAACACCAACTCAAGTATTTAAACATTCTTATTCTTCAGTCTTGTGTCCATTTGGCCACTAGGAATTTGACCGTTTCTTACTCTTTTTGAGTCTACTTCTCACTGTTGTTCACCCTAGACTCCCAATTCTTGTAGGTAAATAACTCCACATTAAGACTTTTTTCACTTTTTATAGATTTGAGGGGCGGTCATTGTAGTGTCTTAAATGTAGAGGGGGCATGATTTATTTCAGATAATGGCATAACAGGACAAATGGCAGGGACATGGGGATCTGAAATAATTCTTTTCAAACCCTAAATCTAGTCTGAAATTTATAACCAGGGATGAATTGGCAACAGCTGAGCCTTGGTGTCCTCAAATTAAAAATGAGGACATGATGAGCTATCTCACAAAGTTGTCATAAGATTTGATAACATGGTATTTGTGCAGGGGGAGATGCATGAACAGGGATAAAACCTTGAGATTTTAGGAAAAGACTGAAACAATCTGGCAAGCTGTGGCCCAATGAGGCCCATAGACAAATGGAGTTTTGTGTTTGTTTCTTGGCATACTCATACGTTAAATTAAAGACACTTAAAAAATTAGAATATTTCCCACAGAAGTTTGGGCATTCAGCATTTTGAAAGGTCCAAAGATCTAAAAAGTTGGTCCAGGCCTGTACTACTAGCTGCCCTGTTACACTGGGGTGGCTTTACTCCTTTCTGTTGACTGCCCCATCAGCTTTTAGGGTTGCGCTCCTACCCTGTGTGCGATTCCAGGGATCTTGTTATGGAAGGCAAATATCAAAATATCTGGTCCAATGAAAATGCATACAGTCATGAAAATATCAGGACCAAACCACTGAAACAGATTCTCATGGGACTTCGAAATATATGGTTGCTGGAATAGTGTCATGGTAGCAGCTAAAAGGTAATAAAGGTAGATAGGGATGGGATAGAGACTAAACATTAAGTTCGGATGAAACTCAGCAATACTGCAACACAGTCACTTAGGCATAACTGACCTGTTTGATGAGGGCTTTACAGCAACAAGAGCTATAGTTCAGTTTCTAGGACTCTAAGTTCCTTCTTGCCCTGTTTCCTCTTATCTTATCAAAACACAGTTTCAGCAGCTAGAGAATGCAGGTAGGTAGAGGCCCCTCTGTTGGCTGATTCCTTCCATATGTGGGTTATTTCATTTTCCAAGGGGCCCTAGGGTTTGGGAAAACTACTTGTCCAGTGTAATCACCTATGAGCTAGTATAAACTCAAGCTTTGCTGCAATTTATTAGTCACTGACGTGCCAAGAGAGAAAAAAAAAAAGGTTGGAAGAAACTAAGAAAACAGCCGTTTGAGATTCTAGTCTAAGGTTCATTTGAGCATGTTTGGGGTTTAAAAAATATTAGATCTATTTCTATCAGCATCCATGCAACATCCTGCACAGAGTGATATTTTAAAGCCAATATGGCTTCAGTGAGCCCACATTTCCAAAACAGCCCCAAATGGGTTTTAGCAACAAGCCTCTGACCCCCAGCAATATCGGTGTTTGAAGCCCTCTGAGAAATCAAGGCAACAGGCCTGTTTTAGTGTTGCTCTGTAAATTCTGAATGGCACAGAGCATCTTTTAGAAGTAGAAAGCTGGTACGCCCTAAAGCAGATGAATGTCTTTCTTGAAAACTAAGTAGTCATCACATTAGTGCTGAGTAGTTTCTTAAAAATCTTCCTTTTAAAAAGTAGGGGAATGTAGGCTTAGAGAATAAATTTCATTCGGCAAGCTGAGTCCTTACTGCGTGTGGCACTGTGACATAGTGGAAGAAGAACTCTTGTTGTCATGGAGCTTAGAGACTGGCAGATGAGTCATACATGATAAATAAATGTAAGACAAAGACTACAATCAGTACCATAAAAAAGTATATCATAGACATGTTTGATCCGAGACGGAAGGTTCCAGAGTAAGTGACAACTAAGCAGAGATCTTAAAGATGTGGGAAGTAAGTAGACAAAGCAAGTGGGAGGCAGATGGGTGACCTGCCAGCGGATAAAGAGTGAGGGGATTTGGCTTCTGGGCAGTGGTGGAGGGAATGCCCTGTGCCAAGTTCTTTATTCTTACCCTCCAACACTTATGCTCCTCCAAACTAGCTTTAGAATGTTGCTACTCTCCTACCTCTATCTTTGTGCTGTGCACTATCCCAGGCTCTGCAAATGCTTAATTCCAAAGTCCAGTCAACAGATTATAATTACTGAAATGTCTGCTTTGTCACACTTACTTGCTTATTTTTTGGTAGAAATGCTAGCTAACAGGAAATCTTCCAAAAGACTTTTCAAAACTTCTAAATTCATAATGAAAATAAAAAAGAAACTCCTTGTCTAATTGGATTTTAAAACATTTTTTGTCCATTTTAAATTGCTTGTCAGAGAAGTCATTGACCAATAAGACAATATGTAGAATCTCCCATTCAGTTCTTATGTTGTTATATGGGACCAAAGTCACTGAAAAATATTAACAATCAGCCCTGTGATGGGAGGCAACTGGATATCTTGGACCCCTTTTTAGATCACTGGACAGTTCATTAGTGAGAATGTTAACAGGATTAAGCAAATGTTTCTGCTAAGTCAGCTCTAGCCAATTATATTGCTTTTGGCTAAGGACATCACAAATCACACTGAGCATAGGGTAGGTATTCTGTATTTTAATAATCATGTTGAAATATTCACACTCAAAAATACTAACCTTGTTAAAAGAATTAGGTCCACAAGAAGAACCCGTTCATTGTATTGTCACTTTAAAAATAGTGATAAAAAATCTTAGCTCTCATTTTAGAAGAAATTGATATCTGATGTGCATATCAGTCTAATGTACATATCAGTATCTCATAATAGGTTACTTTCTCTGAGATAGTGGGTACTGGTTAAAAACCACCTTAAAACTAGTCATGATTCTGAATTCTCTGGTAGAATTAAGATTAATTATAATCCAAGTAAAGTTGAGTTGCCTAGTGGTTCAGCCTTAGAAGAATGTCACATTTAAGAAAAAAAGTCAGTAATTATTTCACATTTTTAGAAGTACTTCAAAAATGCAAAAGGTAGAGGTTCTATATGTTGCCACATGTTCTAGAGATTCCCCCCATTTCTCTCACATGCAGAGATGTTTGGCAGTCTCTTCCCTTGTTCCAGACTTTCCATATTTTCAAACCTGGACCTTCAGTGGCTCACATCTAACTTACTCTCTGGATGTTAGTTTCTCTTCTGCCACTAAATGCTTGCCCTCTCCAATATAAATTATTACCCTGGTCATGCAGTGCCTCAGTTCTCTCCCATGCTAATTAACCAAATTCTGCAAAACAGAGGGTTCAGGAACTAAGCTGATAAAGACTGAATTCTCCTGGAAAGGATATGTGACAGAGGGAGAGAGTATGACTGAAGCAAAGGGACTGTGAATATTTACATTAACTTTTTCCCTGTCAGTTTTAGAGGTCCATCTATTCCAGAGTATTGTAAATTCCCTTAGTAAAAAGAATGAGCTTTGACTGTGCATATAATGGTTCCTAGGCAATTTAATTAAACACTATACTAGAAATTGGTTATACAAATAAGCCTGTTGGAAACCATTTTAAAATTTGGTCCGTGGAGTCTTCTGATAGTCATTAACTCAAGAAACAGTCACTGAGCACCTAGCATGTGGGTCTTGGGAATTGAGATAATCAAATAACCCCTGCCCTTGAGCAGCTTTCATTTCATTATGGCCCATTAAAACATCACCTTCCTCTGGGACTGTAAATATTAAGAGCCCTTCTTTAACCTCAAACAGCCAAGACAGCACTCTAAGGTCAGAGGAAGGTTGTCTGGGAAGCATTGTTTTGTCATCTTAAAGGGGCAGCATTTATTCACATGTAACCATACTCAATGCCTATATAAGAGCTGCCCTTGGCTGGTGCTCTGAACCACTCAATTATTCCTATGTTAAAATCTGTTTGATCCTCCTTGCTCCTGAGCCAGCTGCCCTAATTACATGAAACTACTCCAGCTCCTTTTAAGATGGTTCCTGGAAACCCAGTTAGCCAACTAGAGTAACTGACTAGATTCCTTCATTCTTGCCCCATACTTATTTTATAAATATCTGAGCAACAGACCTAGGAGAACCATTGTGGATGATGCTTGTAAAACAAACAATGTATTTGAGCTTCTCATAGTAAGGATTGGCCTGATTAAGTGAATAGGGGAAGTCAGAGCATGAGACATGTCATACTTTGTTAGATACCAAAGCCAATAAATGTTAAGTGCTAGGAGATATGAGGTTCCAAATTCTTATAAAATCATATAAAAAAGGGAATTGACTCAGTTTGCCGGAAAGGGGGCAGTCATTGTCATGGAAAAGGCTCAAAAAAAAAAAAAGTGTTAATGAAGGATAGGTGGGAAATTCACCAAACCAAGAGCAGGCAGAAGATGCCTAAAACTAAGTGAGCCAGTGTTCCCTAGAGAGCAGAGCCTGCAACAAGAGTTAAAATGGTGACGATTTAATTAAAGAGTGCAAAACTAGGGCAGCAAGGATGAGGCAGAAGGGATGTGAGGCAAGGAAGTATTGAAGCAATGTGAAGTGATACATGGTCATGCTGGCAACTGCTTTATGATAAACTGAAGAGACACAGCATATTGCTTGGCACGTGTTGCATGGCATGTGGGACTTCTCCGGAGAAGCCATGAGAAAAAAACTGCACCTGACAATAATTTATGATGGAACAGATTTTATCTCCCCAGTGACCTCCCATGTCCTGTTTCCTCTTGGTCAAAATTTGCCATACAGAAGTTGTGTCATCTGGATCCTCTTTCAGCTACTTAGGCAGCCAGATCCCATGCGCTCAGTTGTGATGATTTACCCTAGACTAGAAATATCAAGTGGAGCCAGAAACTCCAGGCATGCAGCTGGTCAGCCTGGCTATGGTGTGGCAACTCTGGCATTCTTAGAGCAAGTGACTTGTTGGCCTCAGGTGGATCCTAGGGTTGTTAGTCAAGCTGAGCAGAACAAGCTGCTGTGAGTCCAGGGAGTGGGTGGAATCAAGAGAATCTGGGAAGGTTCATAAAGTTTGTTTGATACAAGTCTGCTGTGACTGGACAGCAAAGAACATCCATAAATCTTTCTAGTTATTTCCCCACATTGGCTACCAGCATTTTTGTTTTTGAGAAGGGTCTCACTCCTGTAACCCAGGCTGGAGTGCAGTGGCACAATCATGGCTCACAGCAGCCTCAACTTCCTGGGCTCAGGTGATCCTCCCACTTCAGCCTCCCGAGTAGCTGGGACTACAGGCACACACCACCACATCCAGCTAATTTTTTGTGTTTTTAGTAGAGATGGGGTCTCATCATGCTGCCCAAAATGGTCTCAAACTCCTGGGTCAAGATATCTGCCAACCTCAGCTTCCCCAAATGCTGAGATTACAGATGTGAGCCACTGCTCCTGGCCCAGAGTGATTTTTTAAATACCTTCTCCTGTCTCAAATTACCAAACGGTCTCCCAGACCCAGATCAGCCCACGCATATGAAGTCCAGCCCCTTCCGGCTTTGAGACATATCATATGTTGCACAAAGCCTGCCTGGCAATTGGATTTGTGGAATGAGATGGACATCAACATGCATGCTTACTGCACGATTGTTCATTCCCTGCAAATGAGTCATAACCTTTCCCATCAGTGCTGGGCTCCATCTCCTTGTTCTGTCCATTGAGTACTCTCCATCTCTCAAAGTCCATTTAAGACTAGAACAGAGTAAATCCAAGTAAACATGGTACTTTGAGAGATGCAAATACCTCACTTTCACTAGCACCAGTCATGGCTAGAAAAGGGACTGGGAGTTTGAGATGGGCCCAAATGAACTTTGATAGAATGGTCAATATTTGATGAAATGTAATTTGTACCATCTTTGGAATTGAGGGATAACTAGAAATATCCAGACATCAGATTGATGTGCCTAGCTCCAATAGAAATGCTAGGTTAGAGCTGTGCACACAGCTGGAGCTGAATGGACACCTCCAGAGTGCCATTTCTAGTTTACTGTGACCATCTAAGATTCCATTGATGGTTATCTTATTCTCGTCTTCCTGACCAGGCCTACCCTTCTCCAGCCAGGCCAGATAAAGAGGGTGGTGAGATAGGGCAACAAAGCAGTGTGAGTCCTACTACTGTAAGAGATAGCCTGGGCAATCGGCAGAAATACTGCTGTGGAAAGGGAAAAGGCTTTGAATCTTATCCAGGTTCAAGATCAGATTTGCATCTTACTAAATGAGTAATTCAGTTAACCTCTCAGGATCTCAGTTTTATCATCCGGCAAATTAAGTGTTGGATTAACTTCTGCATCTCAAAGGAAGGCAGAAGACTGTTGTTTTGATTGAAGTACCTTGCCTTAGGCCGTGTTCCTTTGAAGCAGAGCCAGAAAGACTATTCTTGTAAAAGCGACTTAGTGATGAAATACCCGAAGAATAGAGCAGAACTTCAAAGATGTGATGTCAATTGAAGTTAAATCTCAGCCTTCTTTCTATGAAGGGCACTGGAGTATAAGTGGTATTACAGAGTTGTCCCACCTTGGGGCAAGGGGATTGTGTTATCTTTTATTGGTATAGGCTGTAGACTGCCCTAAAGAGGGCAAGTGTAATCTCCTAGGGACTTCAGGAAGATGTAGAAATTCCCTAGAGAAGGAGGCTGTTATGAGCTCTAAGCAAACAAAGCAGCTAGAAGATGCTTGTACCAGTAAAAAAGATCTGGGGGCTGGGCATGGTGGCTCACGCCTGTAATTCTAGCTCTTTGGGAGACCGAGGTGGGTGGATCATGAGGTCAAGAGATTGAGACCATCCTGGCCAACATGGTGAAACCCCGTCTCCACTAAAAATACAAAAAGTTAGCTGGGCATGGTGGCACATGCCTGTAGTCTCAGCTACTTGGGAGGCTGAGGCAGGAGAATCGCTTGAACCCGGGAGGTGGAGGTTGCAGTGAGCTGAGATCGCACCACTGCACTCCAGCCTGGTGACAGAGCAAGACTCCCTCTCAAAAAAATAAAAATAAAAAATAAATAAATAAATAAATAAAAAATCTGGGTAAGACACCATTATCATGTATTGTAGCCCACCACTCAGCTCTACGGCTCACATGAAGTTTACTCAATTCTGGCACAGTTTCTCTAGGATTCTGGTTGGTGACAATTTCTGGGGAAACTTAGAAGGGCAATATTGGTGGGATGAATGAGACCCTCCACTGCTATGACTGAGCCAAAAGCCAGTAATATACATATTTTTCTCTTCTACCACCTAACTATATTCTGCTTCCACTTGGCTATGCAATTCCACTAGTCTAGATGGGTGTAACTGATGTGATGTGAACTCTCTGAAGAATCTTGGACCCTGGTTACTATACCCTTATCAGGCCATTATTCCTGTGCTTGACCACGTAGAGCGACAATGACCATGGAAATACCAAAAGATGCCACAGTCAATTATCTGGGTGCTGAACTTTTTCATCTGCCTTTATCGTGAGGCTACAGTTTCTATCTCGTCATGATGAGCAGGACTGATAGTAGTTAGCTTACAGCATGATAACTCCTTGTACAGGCACAGGGATCCCAAAGTGACCAGGCATCAGTCATAGTGTTAAGATTAGTGGGACTCTGTTCTTTAGTGGAAACATTCCACATGAGAACTAGGATCTCCTGATCCATAAATCCTGAAGTTACAGAGAATCACAAGTCCCCAAATAAATCACTGGGAATGTTGGTGAGAGGGACATTTCTATTTCTACCTCTTGATTCCCGGACTCATGTGCTTTACTAGTAAGAACCTAGTACCATATAGTGACTGTGGGTTCAGGGTATATTCTGTATCCAGAAGGATAGTATGGTAGGTATCATCTTGAGCTGGCACTTCAGCTGTACCTGTAAGAGGTTGCTTCACTACTCTATCAGGTCAGCAAGCTTCTGGGTGGTATGTTGTATGGTAGAGTCAGTTGGCTCTATGCACATGTGCTCATGTGGATCTGACCTTCACTCCTGGAATTCAGTGCCTTATGCCAGGTTTCCCAAATCCAGCCATTCTTGTGCAAGTGATTTAAGGGAATGCTTTCAAGAGAAATCCGTAAGGAGCTGTGTTAGTCCATTTGCATTGCTATAAAGGAATAACTAAGACTGAGTAATTTATAAAGAGGTTTATTTGGCTCATGGTTCTGCAACTTGTACAAGCATGGAACCAGCATCTGCTTGGCTTCTGACGAAGCCCAGGAAGGTTTCCCTCATGGTGGAAGGCAAAGGGGGAGCAGGTATAATGCATGCAAGAGAGGGAGCAACAGAGATGCCAGACTCAAACTATCAGCTCTTGCATGAACTGAGTGAGAACTCACTTATTATCATGGGAAGGGCACCAAGCCATTTATGAGAGATCCACTCTCATGATCAAAACACCCCAACATTGTGGATCATATTTCAACATGAGGTTTGGAGGACATAAACATCCAAACCGTATCAGGAGGTAAGGGGGGAAATTAGGGCAGAGGAAGGGGTAAGCAAAGATATGGTTTCAGCTGAAGTTTACTTGAACGTGACCCCTTGATCTCTGAATGGTACCATAGTCATGGCACAGTAACATGAATGGTACTATAGTAATGTCCAACCCTGAGGCAAGGGATCTGTGCTTTTGTATCTTGAAACCAGGCAGTGCTTGGTCTTGAGCCACTCTGGGGCCAGCACAGCAAGACGAAGTGGCTTTCATCAGCTGAGGGCAGTTTTCTGGAGAAGTATGCATCTGAGCCATTAGCAGCCCCTACTCATGCCAGCCCAGGAAAGAAGATCTGGGTGAGGTCTAACAGTTGACTCTACCAAATCTTGTCACCATATCTTGAAGGGTTTGGATTACCTTGGGGTGACTGTCAGTCACTAAGCGTGAAGGAGCCCCATTCCAACCTCCAAATCTGGGAAATCTAGGCAGTTGTAAGACTAGAATATCTCTACTTCCTCACTGTACTATCACTTGATCTAGCCAACAGCATATTTGTTAAATCTTGACTGTGGCAGACATGATATGTTTTAGAGATACAGAAATAAATCAAACAATCTTGCTCTTATAAGCACTCCATTTCTAGCATTTTATAGACAGCATTAACTAAGATTTTGTACAGCAACTCAAGTCCTACAATCTACCAGTCACAAAGCCATCATCAGGGCAGGGCATTAAATATTATAGTCACCAGATGTTTTCATAGCCCTGTCTGATGTTTGCCTCTATCAGCTTCCTGATCTGATTATTCTGGACGATTCTGACTTCTCTGCTTGGGCTTTTCCATTAAGTCAGCACAAGTAGTGATGATAGCAGCTTACACTTGAGAGGTACTTCAAGCACATTAAGTACTAAAATGATAAACACTTTTAGCATCCTGGATGGTAACCTACAATGAAGTTTCTCAAAGTATGGCCCACCTCAAATAACTAGGAGTACTTTTTAGAAACAGATTTTGGGGCTCTTTTCCAGAATTACTTAAATTAGAATCTTTAGGGCTCTGATTCTCAGATCTTTAGTGTTGCATTTTAAGCACAGTTAAGATATGAGAGTCACTTGCTAGAAAGTAGGTAATTTATAGCTCTTCCTTTTTGTGACAGATGAGGAAACTGGCTTTGGGCTTCTTAAGTCAACCTCATACCATTGACATTTTGGACCAGATAATTCTTCATTGTAGGGGGCTGTCTCATGCACTTTAAGACTTTTAGCAGCATCTCTGGCCTCTGTTCCCTAGAGTCAGTAATGTCTCTCCAAGTGTGACAACCAAAAGGTATCTCTAGTCATCATTATGTCCCTTGAGGAGCAAAATTGCCATGTACATCTCTACTGTTCTAAGGTATGGTATCTCGTGAGCAATAATTATCCACAAATTTTTCTATCAGATGGACTTTTTGAATCCTGGCATTACTCATTTGTCGTACAGTCTTAAGGAAGCAACTCAACTCAAAGAACCTTTGTAATCACCATGTGAAAAAGGCAGGAAGAATATAGCCACAGATTCAAGGGGGTAACTTGTACCTCTTACCACATCCTCAGATTCTTCCCTCTTCCTCCCTATGGGTTATAGCAAATACTTGTACCACCTATGAAAAACAGGCTGCTTGCTATGCCAAGAGGGCATCAAGACATGTCTTCTCTATCCCATCCCCCTTTGTATTTTTGTTGCCCACATAACCCTCGTGAATAGAAATATTGAGTCAGTATGGGTAGTATTAATAGTTCCTCAAAAACAGAAGATGGAAATAGAATAAAGCAGGCATTGTTGGTGCCCACTTTTATCTCTTAGAATTTACTGTTTTATTGTGTTTCACTCCACTTCCAACTTCCAGCACCTACATGTCTATGTTCAGAAGCTGCCTTGATGCCACATGCGGGAGGCTGGAAACGCTGAAGGATGACCACTGCTCAGCAGCAGTCTACCAGTGATGGATGAGAGTTGGTGCACAAATACCCCAGCTCCCTTGCCTCTCAGTTTGGATAATCCTGAAAAGGTGTGTACTATGCTATTTCTGAGATTAAGCCCTAGTTACCCATAGTGGTAGCTAAATATAGTAGTTGGCTGTATTCTCCATCACTTCTTGAATCCCCTGCCAGTGTTCTCTGCACCTCCTTAATAAACCACTTGAAACAAAAATCAAGTCTTTCTTTCTCTCACGGTCTGCATCTTGGGGAACACAAACTAAGACACAGTCTCAAAAAAGTTAACATTTGTAAAACATCTAGTTTATTTTTTCATCTTACCCTACAAGTAATAAAAAAGACAAAAAAAACCAAAACAAAACACCTTTCATGGGAGAGGGGACATTCAACTAAGATGCTTTGAGTTGCTTTTCCTGTTAACGTTATGCCAAATTTAGAAGAAAAGAATGCCAGAAGAGGGCAGAGGATATGTATTATGTCTATATCTTCGAGACATGAGGTCTTGCTATGTTCCCCAGGCTAGAATGCAGTGGCTATTCATAAGCAGAATCATAGCACACTGTGGCCTTGGATTCCTGGCCTCAAGGGATCCTTCCTCCTCAGCCTCCTGAGTTCCTTAGACTATAGGCATGTGGTGCTGCACCCAGCTGAGAATACGTACCTTGGACACAGTCATTCCCCAGTATACGCAAGGGATTGGTTCCAGGACCCCCACATACACCAAAACCCATGCATACTCAAGTCCTGCAGTTGGCTTTGCAGAACCCATGTACACAAAAAGTCAGCCTTCCATATATGCAGATTCTAAATATTGAGAATATTATATTTTTGATTTTTGCTTGGCTGAAAAGAAGTCTGCATGTAAGTGGACCTGTACAGTTAAAGACCATATTGTCGAAGGGTCAACTCTACTTTGTATTTCAAGTGCACCTAACCATGCCTTGGTATTCAGTTGCTAGTGAGAAGGTAATGTATTCAGGACGGCAGTTAGGCCTCATGAGTGCTGGCCACTCTATCTCACAGAACTTCTCAGAGTCCAACAGGATTCTGGAAGCTTTTCACCATGAATTGCCATTGTATGGCATACAAAAACATAACATATTCCTGCAGAATAAAGATCTATGGATTTTGTTAAGTCTTCACCAACTGTTTTATATTTTATCAGCCTAAACACAGAAGAGCCTTTTCAACAGATGGATTACATCAGATTCTGTAAACACTGTAATTGTTTGGCAGGATTACTGCTTACACTGAAAAATGTAATTTGCAAAAATACACAGAGACGACACATACCCAATATATACAGTGACAGTTTGTGCTGTAAAAGAGGTCTTGTCATATGCCTTCTGTACAGTGCTCATTAACTAACCAAATCCAGAATTAAGCAGCAATTATCTCCAACATCTCAGACTGCTGTTTCTCTCATTTTACTGTTTCCTGGGAGTTTGAGAAATGAAATGAAGCACATCTCTCATCCCTTTCTCCCCAGCATATTCATAAAGACAGACCATGGAGGGCAGCCAAGTGACACAGTGTTATAGTGAAATCAGCCCTTTTAATTAGGTGCGGGCAGAGCAGATATTTTGCTTTACTAAAACATAAGCATCCTGTAGTTTAGGTGGTTTCACAGTCATTGCTCAAGATTTACAAAGATGCTGGTCTATCTGGCAAGGTATTCTTCTCAGATGATTGTTCTGGGAATGAATCAGAGGGCTTGGGAAGAAAACATCTTAACTTACATAATTTCATCAGCCTCCCATTTTCACGGAGTATTTTATAGCTAAACATCAAGGAAGGAAGAAATTGCGAGTAAATCAATCTCAGGCCTGCTGCCAGTAGGAGGAAGAAAGGCAAACCCAGGTCCATGGGAAGTTTGTGGCTGAAGGAAGAGCCCTCCATTGGAGACCTTCAAAGCAATTGTGGGGTTATCATGTCAATACTTAAAGGCCTGCTCTGTGCCAGGCACTAGGCTAAGCGTGTTACTCCTTACATTGAAGCTTCAGTGATTTTGAAGTGAGAGAATTCAAGTTTGGAGGGCTATAATGTCTTGCCCAATATGACTAGTCAGGTCTGGATTCAGTCTTGGTTTTGCCTAGTTTCTAGGCGCTGAACCTATGTTGAGACAGGTTGTTTATATTTCTAAATTTGTTTTTGACAAGAGTTCAAAGGCATTCCTGATGTCTCAAAAACTTTTGCAGCCCACTAGGAGGACATTGTATTTTCTTTCCCTTGAATACTCCAAATTGAGGAATGGTGAAGAGGCAGGAGGAAAACAAAAGGATATGCTGATTAAAAACAAACTCATCTTAAAATATTTGAAGAGTTCTTCCAATTGAGAGAGTCCATGGCCAAACTTTGTGGCAGAATGTTTTTTGTCCACCCAAAGATAGATTAAGTTGCATCATTACGTACAATATTGCTTCAATGTTTTGATTATAAGTAGTAATCCAAGTCTGAGATTCGAGGTTTAAAAATATAGAAAAATGCAAAGAAAACTCAGTCCAAGTAACTACTATTAACCTTGAGACACTGTACTAAGTTATCATGTATGTAGAAAAGTATAAAATCCATTAAGTTACAGCTCAGTGAATTAAAGCAAAGTGAAAATCTTTGTGTAACCACATCTCCCGAATAGCTCAGAGGACATTACCTAGGAGGTAATCATACTCCCCATAGATCACTACCCTCTCCTTCCTTCACCTTGTAACCATTATTCTGAAGATTTCTAAGCTATTGTTTAGTTTTGCCTGAGTTCAAGTTTTGTGCAAGGAGAATCACATCTTTGCTCAATATTGCTTAATTTATTCACATTGCTCCATGTAGCTATAGTTCATTTTGATTGTTGTATGGTATTCTGTTACATGGGGTTAACGGATATAGCAAATAATTCAAATTTAACCTGGTGTCCTGAATTTTAGGTAACTTTTGGTGTTAATGTCCTATGCTATTTGCAACATAATTACATTAAAAGATATTTACCTAAAATTAAGATAAACATCCTCTATTTCATCTGGCAAACCTAATTTTATGACACAAAATTTAAGAAAGAGTCTACTTTTAAATTTTTGGATTGTTTCCAAGCTATTGGCTATCATATATATGCTTCTATGAATATTCTTATTTTTGTCTCTTCATTGTTGATTTTACAGCTAATTTCTCTTTTCAATATGCAAATATATTTAATAAAAATGCTGTCAAAATTTTATATGTTCTGAATGTTAAATATTTTTGTTGGATGATTGTATCATACTTTTGCCATAACTTAACAATTTCCCTGTTGTTGGTTATTTAGATTCTCTAGTACAGTTGTGTGGAACTACTCTGTATAGTTTAGAGAGCACTGGAGAAGTAAACAAAAACATAGCTGCAGAACAAGCAAAATAGTGTTTGATCTGCCTCCGGCTCCATTTTCTAGGGAACATAAGCTCACACATTGGAGATGCAATCCCAAGGAAGCAAGAATGAAGGGTAGAAGTGGGGAAGAAAGGAGGAAAAGCACATAAAATGTGGGGTATTACTGAGCTGGCCATGACTTCAAAAAAGCTCTGTAGCCAATTGCTTAGTCACAGGTGAGTCCTAGAGAAAGGCACATGGACCCCCTAAATTTGATGAAGGATGAAATGCTTCTATTTCTTTCCTACAACTCTTCAAAGTGGGACTCGTGGGGGTGTGAGCTCTTCCACGCTTCCACGCTTCCATGCTTCCACGCTTTTGGATAATCTGGCTCTGCTGTTAGGACACTAGGGAAGCCAAATCCTCTGTGGTTGCAATCTAGTTAGATCTAGGCAGTGGAGCTTCTCATCACCCCCAGACAGGAAGGGAGATGGAGGTCTTGCAGACTGTCAATCTTTGCCTGGGGGACGGAGAGACAGCCAACTGTGATAGAAAGCAGGCATTCACTCAGATAGGTGAAGTTGTCACTGTGGCTGTAGCAGCCTGGGGCAAAAATCAGGGGTCATAGGGCAGGTGGGGGCTGATCTGAAGTGGCACATAAATCAAAGTTGTACTTGATCTCCAGGGGATAACAGGAAATGGGTAGAAAACAAGCCAAATACCAGTTGTGGCTATACAAACAGTTGTACAAATGAACCAATCATAATCCACATCCTGCCCCCCGCCCCTCTCCCCCGTAAAAACACGAGTCCCAAACACCATAATCCTGAATGTTGAAATCTTGAAAGCTCAAACTCCCTAAAGTCTAAATAATCTTGACAGATCAAAATATCAAATTCTGGAAGAAAAATGAGAAATTTAAGGAGATTTACATTTATAAAGGAGGATTTGAGAAACAAAACCACAACAATACTTCATAGGTCACTTTACACAAAATAGGCAATAACCTAACATTTTTCGCAAGCATGAACACTCAGGTGTACTAGTGACAGTTGCCTGGGTATAACAGTTATGAGCAGAGGAACCATGTTCATAAAGAAATAGGTCATAAAGTGAAATATGTAAGTGCATATCACTTACAATTGTGTGCATCTGAGTTTATAATTTTGGTTATCTGAAATACCATGGCAGATAACTCAAGTTTTCTGATGAGATCAATGAAAACCCACAATGGGTCACAACTTCATATGCAGTCACTCTTAGAGCTGAGGTGGAGAAATTTTATCTTTCACAAATATAGATGTACAAAGAGGACATCTCTTCATTTATTAAGTTTCAGTGTTTACACATACTAATTACACAGCTAATGTGATAACTTTCATGGAGTCAAACTTGCAAAAATATATGTTAGAACTCTAGAATTATACAATTTATACCTTCAGTATTGGAAATGATGCAAAGATGATATACATAGCATAGCAAGCTGTAAAAATTAATGGTAACATTTTAAAATAATGTAATTGAATTTTAGTAACTTGTGGGATTTTGATCCTTCAAGATTCTAACATTTGGCATTATGGCATTTGGAGTTTTGTCTTTCAGGATTATGATCGAAACCTGCACAAACGAATCTAGCCTCTATTTGTATTTTACTTATTTTTCCAACATTTTATGAAATTGATAAATATACAGAAAAGGTGAATGATACAGCAAATACTGTGTCTATAACCTAAATTCTACAACAAGTATTTGTTCACTTAATGCAACATTTTAGAAATGCATTGCCTAGTTTTAGAATCAGACATTTTACCTCTGAACCATGTAAGTTAAAGAATTCCACATTTGTATAGTATCAGTTAAGATACATCATGAAATAAAACTTGCCATGTGAGTTTTGAAAGGGGTATATTCCTATAACCTAGAACTCAGTTATCTGTATTTCTATCATGGCTAATAGTTGAGCATTTGTGTGCTCATTAGCTTTTTAAGAATGTTTTTAGTTGACAATTGTATTTATGGGCTAAATATATAATATCAGGCTATAATAGCCTATAGTCAGGCTAATTATATCACTATACACATTTCTTTTTGATGAGAGTTTTGAAATATGATATATTAGTAACTGTAGTCATTATGCTGTGCAATAGATCACCAGAACTTCTTCCTAACAACTTTGTACCCTTTGACCACCATCATCTTCCATCTCTCCATCTACCACCCCTGCTCAGCCCCTCTCAACCACTATTCTATACTCTGTACTTCTACGAGTTTGACCTTCAGATTTGAAATAAGTGAGATCATGTGGTATTTGTCTTTCTGTGCCTGGCTTTTTCACTTAGCACAATGTCCTCTATGTTTATCCAGCTGTTGTCAATGGCAATTCTCTTTTTAAAGACTGAGTGGTATTGTAGTGTATATATACAACTATTTGGCCATTTACCCATTGATAGGCACTTTGGCTGTTTCCATACATTGGCTATTGTGAATCATGTGGCAGCGGATGTGGGAGTGCAGATCTTCGACATACTGATCAATTCCTTTGGATATATACCAAGTCAGGACTGCTAGATCATATGGTAATTCTATTTTTAGTTTCAGGAACTGCCATACTGTTTTCTAAAATGGCTATATTAGTTTACATTTCCAGTGTATGAGGGTTCCTTTTTCTGCACCCTAGCCACTTTATCTTTTTGATGACAGCCATTCTAACAGGTATAAGGTGATCTCCTGGTTTTAATTTGCATTTCCTGGATTAAGGATGTCGAGCATGTTTTCACATATGACAAGTTGTATGTCTTTTGAGAAGTGTCTATTCAGATTATTTGCCCATTTTTAAAAAGGGTTATTTTTGTTATTGCATAGTTTCAGATTAGTGTTTTGGATATTAGCCCCTTATCCTATTATTTGCAAGTAGTTTCTTCTGATCAGTGGGTTTTTCCTTCATTGTCTTTTTCTGTGTAGAAGCTTTAGTTTTTTGCAATCCCATATTCTATTTTCGCTTTTGCTGCCTGTGCTTTTGGGGTCACATCCAAGAAGTCACTGCCCAGACCAATGTCATGAAGCATTTACCGTATGTTCTCTTTTAGATAACTGCTTATCCCAATATTGTCAGAGTGGACTTATTGAGAAGAATCTCACTAATTAACCTTGCCAGAGGTTTTAAATTGCCTCTCAAATCTTAGTGTTTGTCCAAACTTTTTCTGTGGCCCCCAGGAGATCAGGATGTGCCATGTCCTGTCAGAAGAGACAGTTAAATTTGAAGCCAGACCCTCTAGATGTAGCTGAAAAGATTGGGGTATTAGATGTTCTAGTTCCTTCTATACTCATGGTGAAGCTGGGACCAGATATTTACCTCCTACTGTCTCTGCACTAAGTTGAGGAGAGAATCGGTGGCAAAAGCCTGTACTCACATTCAGACTTTTCCCTTTGATCTTGAGATAGCCACTGGAAGTGGGCTCACTTTATGTCCACCTTTGTTTTCTGCAGTTTAGGAAGACTTGGAAATACAGAGCCCCAACGGTTTCCACAGCTAGGTTGTTAAAGCAGTCCCTCCTTTAGTGAAAGTTACGGAAGTTGTGGCACTCAGTGCACATATATGCTTTTTCTAGAAAGGATGAGAAGACCTGGATTTATCACTGGGACAAGCTAGAGAAGGCTCAGCAAATGCTGAGCTCCTGTTCAGGACACCAGGTCTATTTTTTGTCTGCACATTTAGTGCCCTAATGCAGGTTAATGAGAAGCCAGGCAGTCAAGTCACCACTGGAAGAGTGCACTGTCAATCCCTTCTGGGGAGAAGCATGAAACTGCTTTTTTAGCCCCTTCTCTGTACTGCTCATGGGAGTGCTTGTGCACCCATTTAAAACCACCCCTTCATTTTGTGATCTGGGGAGACTTGCACATTCCCAGTCTTCTCTACTTCCAGAGCTTAGAGGTTTAAGATATAGTCCTTTGGGTGTAAGCTGTAAAAGCTGGGTTTCTTGATGTGTGGACAAGCTCCTTCAAGGAGGAGTTAGTAAACCTCGAGTTATCACGTGGGTGAACTTGCGGAGATAGCTCAAGAAGTACTGAGGCAGCTCAGGCTGCCAGAAACCTACTATTTATCGAATCTATTAACTCCCTGATACAGACTAAGCTGCCAACAGTAGCAGTTGGCAGAGCATGCTGGCAAGTTTCTTCCAGAGAAACAGACCTTTGAGTTTTAGCCCCTTCTCTACCCTTATCCCGAGGGATGAAGCCACTGGAAGTGCTTGCATACCTGCATAAGACTGCCACTTTCTATGATCTAGAGAGACTCATGTATACTCTTTACTCTGAGTTGGTGAGAGAAGATGCAAACTGTGGGGAGCCTTAGAGCATTATAAATGTGTTCCAAACCCTCCTAAGGGAGAAGCTGGGTGTTGGGAACTCTTGTGATTGCATGGCATACTCCCTGGCACAGGGTCCATACCTGAGTGTGCTTTATTTTCTACTCATTTGATGTGAATACTTTCTCACTTTCTCAGCTGACTGGTACATAGAAGCTGCAATTTTTTATTTTTATTTTTATTTATTTATTTTTTTAAGATGGAGCCTTGCTCTGTTGCCCAGGGTGGAGTACAGTGGTGCAGTCTTGGCTCACCATAAACTTCACCTCCCAGGCTCCAGCGATTCTCCTGCCTCAGCCTCCCGAGTAGGTGGGATTACAGGAACATGCCACCATGCCTAGCTAATTTTTGTATTTTTAGTAGAGACAGGGTTTCACCATGTTGTCCAGGCTGGTCTTGAACTCCTGACCTCAAGTGATCCCTCTGCTTCTGCCTCCTGAAGTGCTGGGATTACAGGCGTGAGTCAGTGTGCCCGGCCAGCTTCAACTCATTTCTGACTTTTTTTCAGAGGGCCTGGATCTGTGAATGGATGTTTATTTGGTGCATCTGTTGGTGGGGGAGTAAGTCGGAAACCTTCTCTTCTGCCATGTGGAGATCACTTCACTGGCTATTTCTGTGGCTGTCTTTGAGAAGTCTCCATTCAAATATTTTGCTGAGTTTGAGCTGTCTTTTTATTGTTAAATTTGGGAATTTATTTTGGTGTTCTGGATATGAGTTCTTTGTCAGACATACGTTTGGTAAATATTTTCTCCTGATTTATACCATGACTATTTTCTTAATGATCTTTTTTGGTGAGAATGTCCGATTTTGATGTGTTGTATTTTTATAGGATTTCATTCTGTTATCCTTTTTTAAAAAAACAATCCTTCCTATCTCCAAGTGTAAAGATCTTAGGTTTTCTAGATGCATTGTAATTTTAAGTTTAGTTGTATAATCCATCTGGAACTAAGTTTTCTGTACGATGTGACATGGGGTGGGGGTTGAGGTTTATTTTTTCTAAGTGGATGTCTGATGATTTCCAGCACCACTTACTAAAAAGATGACTTTTGACAAAGATATAAAGTTACCATTAAGTACGGACGAATGTCTTAACTTTGACCTGTTTATTCTTATGTCAGTGCCACACTATCCTGATCACAACAGATTTATAGTAAGACTTGAACTCAGTTGAGTCCAAGTTTTAAGATTGTTTTGGATATTTTAGGTCCTTTGGATTTCCATGTGCATTTTTAAATAAGCATATTTATTTTTACTTAAAGAGCCTAGAGGAGTATGACTGAGATTGCATAGAATTCATAGGTCACTTTGGGGAGAACTGAGAACTTAATGTTGAGTCTTTCGATGAATGAGCATGGTCTCTCTCTCCATTTGCTTAAGTCTTTAAAAATTTATTTCATTGGCATAACACTTCCAGAACGGCAGAGTAAGGACCTATGAAAAATCCAGACCTTATCAAAAGTAATAACACTCGCAAAAAATTGTCAAGATCGGCTGGGCGCGGTGGCTCACTCCTGTAATCCCAGCACTTTGGGAGGCTGAGGCGGGCGCATCACAAGGTAGGGAGATCGAGACCATCCTGGCTAACACGATGAAACCCCGTCTCTACTAAAAATACAAAAAATTAGCCGGGCGTGGTAGCGGGCGCCTGTAGTCCCAGCTACTCGGGAGGTTGAGGCAGGAGAATGGCGTGAACCTGGGAGTCGAACCTTGCAGTGAGCCGAGATTGCACCACTGCCCTCCGGCCTGGGCAACAGAGTGAGACTCCGTCAAAAAAAAAAAAAAAAAAAAAGTCAAAATCAACTCTAAGAACTCTGGAAATCAAAATCTGCAACAATTTGAGGAGTGTTTAAGAAAACCAGCAAGAATCTGAGAAGTATTAAGTCAAATTAATTCAGCTGTTTTTCTTTTCTTTTTTTTTTTTTTTTTGAGACAGAGTCTCGCTCTGTCACAAAGGCCAGAGTGCAGTGGCATGATCTCGGCTCACTGCAAGCTCTGCCTCCCGGGTTCACGCCATTCTCCTGCCTCAGCCTCCTTAGTAGGTGGGACTACGGGCGCCCACCACCACGCCTAGTTTTTTGTATTTTTAGTAGAGATGGGGTTTCACCGTGTTAGCCAGGATGGTCTCGATCTCCCGACCTCGTGATCCGCCCACCTCGGCCTCCCAAAGTGCTGAGATTATAGGCGTGAACAGCTGAATCTTGTAAGAACAGCAGACTCATGCTTTGACATGTCCTGTTTCCATTTCCTTTCCCCAAGATCCAGGGTAGTGTAGTAAACCAAGAACTTCATAATCATGGTTGCCAGAAAAAATAGCCTAGCACTGAAGGGGCAAAATGGGATTGGCTTCTTCCCAAAGAGACCAGTTTCTAGACTATAATTATTTGATCTATCTGGCAATTTCCTGGAAATCTTCAATCATAGGAATTGTCTTTATTGAACCTGACTTAGCTTAATCTTTGCAAACAGCTTTTTCCCTAGGGCATTTATCAAAAATATCATTTAACATCTGTAGTAGTGATAACAGTTGGGGTAATCAAGCAGCTGGCCAAACTTAAGGAGTTGGGAAATGACATGCTCATAAAGAGTTTAAGAAAGCTCCAACATATTCCTGAGAATCTAGAAGGTGACACACATGTTCAGAACTATGCACACGCTAAGAGTTGTATGCATTCTCAGGAGGACCCAAAAAGGTCTGAATTTCCAACTAGCCTTGAGGCTCTGCATGAGCAGGAGCTATGGCTAAGGCAGAGTTGTAAACTGCTTGGCAGAGCATTGAAGGCATGTCCCAAATTGGACTCAAAGCACAAGGGCACTGAAGTTACTAGATGACAGCCGTTGCTTGATATACAGTGAGATTCTTACTGTGTCCCCTAATGAAAGATTGGCCTTCTAGTAACAAGAGCCTCTGAACCAAGACCACAGGGTTTCAGACTGGAGACAGGTTACCAAAGTTGGTCACAGGAAATGATAGAAGTAGAGCCACTCTTTTCCATTCCTAGCCTCCATGTATTTTTGCTATTGGTGATATAGAATCATTATATGGTTATCAATTTAGGTTATATCCTACTATATGATTAAGAATCCTCCCAGGATGATCATCTTTAAGCTGTCATCTTGGCTGTACTTTTAACAACAGGCTATTCTATCATTTCATCTAGCCTGGAGCTCTGGGTGTTCCATATGGAATAGTACCAGTAAGCCCCATGGTCATGTGCTCATGGCCAGCCTAGTTTGCTGTAATGTGAATCCCTTGTTCCATTATTTTGTCACTGGACCAACATTCTATGGGCCTTAGATAGGTGGTAATAGTCAAGACCCTTCTGGCAGGAAAGGCAAACCTTTACCTGGAGTATGTGTCTATTCATATAAAACAAACTACCAAATGACCAGCAGGTCTCTACAGGTGGTGCCATATTCAGAGGTTCAGAATGTTTTAGTTGCTTGTAATTTGTGTATTTTGTGGTACCAGTTGTTAGAATAGCTTTGGTGAATGGGAGCCGATGGTTTGGGGCCCATGCATAGACTTAATTTCTGTCACTAGCTATTCTACTCATGGACTTATTAGGAAAGCAGTGATGTCAAGTGAAAGAGCCGTTCTGTATACTTTATTGTAAATATTCTCTGTGGAAAGCATTCTATAGTGGATATTAACATGTCATAGGAAAGTCTTCGTGGTGTCCACTCTTGTAAGTATGTCCATGTGCCTCTTCCCCAGACCTTCTTCACACTTATCTTCCAATACTTGTTGTTTTAGGTCCCTCACCAGCTAGCCAAGTCACTACTGTCCATGATTCTGTGTATGTTGTAAATTACGTATTTTTCCCCACTAAGTATGTCTACATGTGCTACTCAATGTTCTGCCCATTGGGATGATTTCTCTCTCAAGTTATGAGTTGAGCTATAGTATAGTAGCAGTCCTTTTTTGCTTATACCTCCATATGGGATGACCCATATGGAGACAAGCTTTTTTTTTACTTCTGTCAATTGGTCATAAGAAATCCTCTACATGTCCATAGGTGTGAGTGGAGTAAGTGCTATCAGTAGAATGTTTGTGAATGACATGGTGGTCTGAGCCAAATAATTGTGTACTATGGTTTCCTTGTGTTCAACTGTGTGTTCCATTTTTTGATGGATTACTGCTGGGCCTACCTGAACTTATTACTTGGTGAGTCTGATAGAAACCCATGTGGGATGGGCAGTTCTAGGGGTCCCTCAGCATTCAATATAAGATGCTTCATCTTTAGCGGGTCCAATAGCATGCCAGGAGCTATTTTTTAATAGTATACAGTTCTCTGCTATGGAAGGCATACCCTTGCTGTAACACAGATCTATGTTGGATTTTTATTAGAACATGCCATAAACTCTACATGATATTTTTCTGCCATCACTGACACTTCTAATGCCATAGGATCTTCTAGGTTGTACGGTCCAAGCAGCAGGGCCCTTTCCAATTCTGTCATTCAAAGCTGGCAGCCTCTTGTGTCATCCAATATGTAGGTCAGAAAGTTACTCTCAAGGGTAGCATATGCTGCCTTCAGATCCTGAAGAGACATGTCAGCCTTCATTCTTTCTTCAATGTAAGGATGTCCTTTACTCTGGGGGGATGTCCTGGTATGTCCCACAATTCCTGGACTGCTAAAAACTTCAGTGAAGTGACAGACCCATGTGTCTTCATAGGTTTTAATTCTCACACTTTGGAGTTCCTATGACAGATTTACTGCTTGTTTATCTGGGCCAATTATATGATATCATTGATATAGATAACTAATGTGATATTCTGCGGTGTCCAGGTATACCAGGTCCCTTCAGACAACATTTTGACTGCAGATATAGTAGTGGAGATCGCCCTGGGACTATACGTGTATGCTAATGTATCCCTGAGGCTGTATAAACCTGTATAGCAGATACCTCATATACTTCAAGATTATAGTGTCCACTTCATTTCTCCTGGATCTTTCCAGGATCCTGACTTTTGTAGTGGTCAGACTGATTTAGTGGAGATGTGATGAAATAGTGGAATTTAATTTTGACAGTAATGTCATTTCTTTTCAGGGCATAAATATTTTATTTTCTGTCTTAACCATTAGAGGGTGAGCTTTGGAATATTCTATTTGGTCTTCTTCACTATAATCTTTTATTCCGTAGGCTAATATGACTGTATTAGAATTGTGGTCTGCTACCACTAAGGTTCCATGATCTCTTAAGACCCTATACGTCTAAATTACTTAGGGTGTATTGCAGCTTGCCAAAATTCCAGCTATCCAACAGCCTGGATTTGAATGGAGCTAGTACATGTCCCTCTATCCAGAATAGAACTTTGCTGCTAAAGGGACAAGACAAGAAACTATGGAACTTGAGCCTAAGTCAAGGTCTTCCTTTTACTTAAAGCCACCCTGGATATTTTGGAATGCTCAGAAATGAGTCAAAACAACTTCATTTCTTCAATATAGATGCTTATAATCTGCAGGGAGACCAGAATATAAAACGTATCTGCTAACTCTAGAAAGGTTTGGCCCTTCTCCAATGTCATGTATAGTGACAACCCTATATTCTGCCAAATCTAAATTTTCAGAAGTGGAAAAATTGAGTTCATGTAATTGATAAATTCTTCAAAAATTGCTAACACATTGAATGTATTACCTATAAATGGCCTTATCAGTGTGGATATTATCCTTAATACTATGAATTTCCAGCAGTCACACTGATGTGCTTATAGGTATTAAGTGCCATTCAGTCAGATGTTATAATTAGAATGGGCCTAAATGAAGATAACTTATCAGGTATACCATATTACCTAACCATGTTAAATAGATGCATACACAATGTCTATTGTAAAGAGAATTTGGATTTTTTGAATACATAACATACATTATGTGTAAGTATAACATACATTAAGATAAAGAACACAGTGAGCCAAGATTGCGCCACTGCACTCCAGCCTGGGTGACAGAGTGAGACTCTATCTCAAAAAAAAAAAAAAAAAAGATAAAGAACATCACATTCAAATTATCAGATTTGGCCAGTATAAAATTCAGTGAAAACTAAGCATGAGTACTAATATTCTTTGTATATTCTGCTACTGTGCTATACAGTTAAAATGTTAAAATTTACGTTTCTACATGAAATTTGTATAGCCAGTTCTAAGATATGGCAAGAAAGAGTCAACATAAAATCTAAGTGATTGCCTAATAACAGTGTTTAGATAAGAGTTGAAACTGCTTTGCAAGTCTAATTCTCTTCATTAATTTGAGGGACACAGCTTGAGAAAGAAAGTCTCCAGAACAGGCAAAGCAAATCATGGATTTGGAAAGCACTGATCCTGAATTTCTCTGAGAATGTGCGTTGATAATTCAACCCAACAGTCTTGATTCATAGAATAATATATTGAGATCCCAATGTTGTTCTAAGTGGCATCTACCATTGGTCCCTGAAATGAAACCTATTTGTTTTTTTCTTGGTTTAAAACCAAGCAAACAATTATCTATTCTTTTTTTTTTTTTTTTGGGAGACAGAGTCTTGCTCTGTCACCCAGGCTGGAGTGCAGTGGCACAGTCTCGGCTCACTGCAACCTCAGCCTCCTGGGTTCAAGCGATTCTCCCACCTCAGCCTCCCGAGTAGCTGGGATTACAGGCAGCCACCATCATGCCCAGCTAATTTTTATATTTTTAGCAAAGACAGGGTTTCACCATGTTGGCCAGGGTTGTCTTGAACTCCTGACCTCAGGTGATCAGCCCACTTCAGCCTCCCAAAGTGCTGGGATTAGAGGCATGAGCCACCGCGCCTGGCCATATCCATTTCAATACTGATTGTGTCACCCATGGAGGTGTGTAGATGGCCTCTAGCTTCCATACCTTCAGGATCTACTTCCATGTTCATGTCAAGGCCATATTCTTCCCAGGTTGCTCCCAGTCTAAGTCTTAGGCCTGCCCCATACAGAATTCTGCTGTAGGGCTCCACAGTGGCCTGTGTGAGATTGAGCTGTAGCTCAGTTAGAGGTTCTTTCTACTCAATGCTTCTGCCTTCTCCCACTCTTCCTAATAGGTATAAACCTTCATGACCATTCTGAAGGCTCTCCCACCTTCTACTACCTTATCATTTAAGGGCCATTTTCTAATATGTCCAATTCTATTTTGGTGTCTTTTCAGAAAGACCTAGACTGACACACATTGGTAAGCTAAGAGTAGCAGAGTTAAATATGTAGGAGTTTGTCCTTTGGTGCCCATGCTGGTGATTCCTAGAGTACAATCTTCTATGCTGGCAGTTGCAGATGAAGACAGGAGAGATGGCCTCCAGGAGGCAGGTTTCTCTTCCAGGTTCCTGCCAGGTACGACTATAGAATGAAAAGCACATTTGAGGGCTTGTCTTTTTCTCTACCAGACCCAGCAAGAAATGATTCCAAGATCACCTAGCTGATCTCATGCTCTATCTGGATTTGAGTGAAGATATACATATTCACCAAGTCTTGACTCAGTCACCTTTTGTGCAGGTAAGCATTGGTGTCTGTTCAGTTGGCCCACAAATCTAGGTTTCTTCAAACATTGGTATATGCCCTGCTCAGGTTTTACACTAAAAGCCTGGAATTGCCGTGACCCTTAGAATTACTTTTAGCTTCGATTCTATAATATTAGAGAGAATTTAGTACTCACTAATTATAAGGTTTATGACCAAAAGGAACCTGTGTGTATCAGATGAATTTCTATACTACTTCAGGAATATATGAGGATATGATACCTTTATTAGCTTGATGTAAAACCCTTTTGGTGATTATATGGTAGGAATTCACATGCCTCCCAGATTCTTAGACCTCCTGCCTTCCGTGTCCTCCAGTACCCTGCTCAAAAAGAGACTGACCACTGCCATCATATTTCAGCACCAACTGCCTCAGCTTGTCCTCAGCCTGACTTGGTGTGACCCACCTCACTCCACCCTAGGCAGGGGCTGAGGCAGGTTCAACACTCAGGCTGGACTCTAGCAGGCCCAGAGAAACTATGGCTCTTCTCACATTTTCATACTCAAATGAAGCACTGTCATGTCAAGTGTGAAGCCTGGCTGCCCCAGTGGGCTTCTGTCTGTTTCGGGTAGAAAGATTCTTATTTAAAAATTGGTTCTTGCTTAATTGGCTGGTATCAGAAAGTGAATACAACCTTATGCCATAATGACAATAAACTCAAGGAGTAAAACTTAAGTAGTAAAATGGAAACTTGAGACTTAGAAGCTTCTGTCTTAAGGAAATACCTGGACTTAAAGTGAGGGATGGAACGGGGTGTGGGGGGGGTGGGGAAGCACACAGTCAGCTATCAAAGTGTGCTAATACCCAGGATGATGTGATCCCCACAAACCCTTAATTCTTGGCATGGACATAGATCACCAAGTCAGAACAGGGAAGAAGTTCCTCTAGTACTTTTGTGCAGAGTGTGGGGATCTCTCTAGTTCAGAGATATGATGGAAAGCCATAATTTAGGTACTGACAGCTGCTCTAGCCAGGTAAAGCAAAACAGACTGGATGAGCTGAAGGGAAAGGTACAGAGTCAAAGTGGGGAAGTAGGAGGCTTGTCTCTGTCTCAAAAGATCAGAGGCCTCCAAAAGTCGCTGCAGAAAAGAGAAGCAGCACTTGATAATTCAGTCAACTGAGTATTTGCATCCTTTTCTGCATGCTTATTACACTTAAGTTGAAGTAGAAAAGCATCTGTTTGCTAGTCTGCCTTAGAAGTCAGATCTGAAGGATTATCTAACTGAGGAGTAAATAGTCAAAGGAATAATCAACCAGCATGTTCCCTTTAGGCACCAGCCTCAAGGTGGCTAAATTTCTCAAATGGAAGGATGACAGGCATTTATTTGTCTAGTAAAGAAATTTGAAAGCTTGAGTCAGAAAAACCAATTCCAAACTCCTGAAAATTTTGTTTATATACTACATTGAAAGTTAACAGGTGGAGACAAATCTCAGCTAATAGGAGACAAACTGATGTCTAAGTCCTCTTGCCTCTCATCTTTTGGGAATTTGGTAGAGTTGCTCCACATGCCCCTGAGGAAGTTCCCAGCAGAATCTGGCTCATGGCTGCCTCCTCCTGTTAGCTATCTGCTTACTCCTTAACCTCTAAATTTTTACTGACTCACTTTTGGTGATTTCAACCCTGACTACCCTAAGAATTATATCCTTGTACCCTGGGCACACCTGACCCCTTTATTTTGGTCCCTTTTTATAGTATGATCGTTTTCACATAGACTAGTGAATTTGCTTACATTCATGCTACATTGGAATAAGTTTCTTGATAGCAAGAATATTTCTCTTGCATTCATCAAGTATCACCAGAGCCTACAATGGAGTCTGAAGTATAGTAGGCCCCATTAGTTGGTTATCTTCTTCTTATACAACAGGACCTGGCAATTAGAAAAAATATGGCATGTAGAAAAGAGCCTATAATGGGCAGAAAATATTTGAATACTGTATAGGGCTTGGCTAGTACCTGTTCACTGATCTACAAATTGTCAAAGAGGATTAGGAGACTTAATGACAAATTTTATCTTTTCTGGTTGTTACCACTTGCAATTCTAAACACACACATCCTTCTAATACGAGGATCATGGTTCAACCTCAAACTTTTTACTGAAATCAGAACTATTGATTGCAAGGCAAACTTTTCAGTGGCCATGACTTATAAGAGGTTTATCATAGCCAAGTGTCACTTTAGTTTTTAACTGAGTGATACTCTAGAATGAAAAGTAGGTCAAGCATACAATTGAGAGACATGAGAAGGCAGAAGGCAGCCTGGGAAAGGTCTATGCAGGTGACATTTCTGAAAGATTCTAAGTATTCCAGACGGTCACATTCAATTATTGTTAGACCATATGAATTGACTGGCTCCTAATGGCATTTTCAATGGAGAGTAAAGCATTTAGTCCTGAGGAGGCTGAAGCCTCAGTATATCCCCCCAATAACTATACTCTGAGCAGCTTCATTATCTGTAGCTAAACACACCCACATATTCAGTCATCCTTTATATACACGCCAAGAGTCTATATCCCACGCACCCAAACTTGAGGGCTGATACTCTAACGATTTCTAATACCCAGCTTTGGGTATAATATTCCAGCTTTGGGCATTCTCCTTTTAACATCACTACTCACGGTAGACAACCGCTTATACTAGTCAGTCACAATACTACAGGGTACACTTTTGCCAAGTTATGGCTGCCTTCTTGTGTAGTTGAAGCCTAACTACTATAAGGCCTTAGCACTGACTTTCCCTGGATGCCATCAGGCTCGGGATGGATGTAGGTTGTATTATTCTGGGCCATTGGTAGGATGCCTAGGATATCTTTCTCTAAGCAGCCCCAAAGAACAGAGTAACTCGGTCTTACCTACAGATAAGAAACTGGCTGTACCAGACACAAAAATGCACTGTCCAGATCCCCTCCCTCGAGGAAACTTTCTTCCAGCTAGAGAGGGTAGAAGACAGACTTCAGCTGTCAGCTCCTTTTAGGGTCCAACTCAGCTTCAGAGAACTGTTCCACCTGAGGTCAAACTCTTTCAGAATCAGCCTGCTTCTATAGCCTAAGCCAAGGACTTTATAAAAGCTTGGCTCTTTCAATCCAATGAAGGATAACATGAACAGAATTTTTGACTAACTGGTCCTCCTCCCTCAGGTTGGCTTTGTTGGGGATAAACTCCACATTCAGTTTAGAAGTTTCTTTGGTCATTCTAGACCTGTGCGAAGAAATCATGTCATCTGGTTGCTTTGCTCAATTTAACACACTCAGTTATTAACAAACCAGCATCAGAATGATCGTGGCATGTCCTCCATAATTCAGCTGTTGGCTGCTCATGTGGCAGCCACGGTGGTACACTCCTCAGAGCTCCCCTCAAGACAGAGCTGACCCCTAGCTGCAAGCTCTGATCTGCTGCAGTGTTCCAACTGAGGCCATGCTCCTCCCAGAAGCTCCTATCCAATAACTGAGCACGGCCTGGAAATCAGGGCCTGGCCATTTCCACTCAAATATTCTTCTGTGAGCAATCTTTCTGCTGGAGCTTCTTGTTGGGCTGCCTGCAGCTCCTTCAGTAGGTGCCAAACCTACATAGACATCCACATGCTTTCCCTGCCTAATCCTACACCTTCCGCCTTTACCATTCATAGCTGTTAACCTAAGAAACATTTTGTACTAACTCCGTCTAGGGTCTAGTGCAGATTTATAAACCAAACTTCAGAGCTGGTGAAAGAATTTTCAAATTTCTTCATGTGTTTTCTTGGAGGTCCCGACTGAGCATTCTACCTCTGAACTTTATCAACCCCAGTGAAGACCCGAAAGATGCTTTAACCCAACCAATGTTGTATTGGCTCCCACAGAAAGTAAAATCAGAGTCATGTGGCAATACTAGCTTTAAACCTGGTTGAAAAGAGTCATTTCAAGATAGGCCCCAAGGAACAGGAGACTGGATAAAAGTAGCCCTTCTGAACTACCATAGGCAAAAGAAGCTTCCCTCTGACAGAAGTGTGCTGTTTTCCAGTTCTGCATAGCCAGTCTCAACTTCTGTCAGGACTTATTGTGGTTATATATAAGTTGGAAGTGATTCTAGATTGGATTTTGGGTATTTCCCAGTTATTAACCTTAACAGATCAAGGTATCAGAACTACAGGACTAAGTGAGAGCTCTTAGCTGATTCTGAGCAATATTTACCTACAGCAAGTTATTTTTCTTTCAATGGTCCATAGAATTCTAGAATAAGACATAGCCACCTCCACTCTGAAAACACAAGGCTTGGGTCACTGTTAGTTGATGTCCTGTATTGAGGGAGAAAGGGTGAAGGAACCAAAATCTTAGTTTGCAACATGTGATCTAATTTTACAACATAACTTGGGGAGGAAAGCATTCTTAGTTTTACCAGGTACCTCAAAATTCAAGTAGTGGTTTATATGTAAATGATATCACCTTTTCATTTGTTATAAGAATTGCTGCCAGACAGCTTTAGGGTTGATTGGTTTTTGTTCCTCCACTCTTGCCTTGCCCTGCGCAAAGACAGTCACCAATGTAGATTTCAGAGGTTCAGGATTCCCATGTGACTCCTATTACATGTGCTTAACTAACTGGCATGAGCTATACTGGGGGAACATGCCGACTCAGGCTGATCCTACAGTACTAAAGCCATCTCCAACCCACCACATGCCAACATGTACCATGATATGTATTGTGCTAAGTCTTTATGAGATAAAGCAGGCATGTCAGGTGTGAAGCAGGCTTTGGCAAACAATGTAGAAGACATCATGGAAAGTAGAGCCATAGAGGGAAGAGATAAGAAAATCCTTTGTATATGATGAAAACAGTGGAGAACAAAAGCATAGGAGAGAACTTCATGGTATCAAAGTCAAGTCTTCGCTTTTGCTGAATACAACACTTGGGGATGAGAAGTGTCAAAATTTGAGCATGTCAAACATTCAGGCAGGTGGGTTATAGGATTCTTTGAAACTAATTTCCATGGGATATAAAAAACATCAGATACAATGTATATTAAAGGTAAGACAATTGGAAAAGCAGGTTGCAGAAAAAGCAGATGAGCTTTTTAAAGCATTATTTGCAGTCCATTCATACGGTTATCTTGAAGAGGATCAAAATATATGCTTGAAAATTTTACTTAACTTTGTGAGACTTGTAATATCAGAAAGTAGTGTGTACCTAGTTGGATATTTTCTCCTTTCTCCTTTGTATTCTGCTTTCTGTTCTCAGGAGGCAAACATGCATAAGAGATGTTACAGGACTACTGAGATGTCTGGATTGGGCCAAATGGGAGTCTCAGTAAGACAGTAGAGAAGGGAATTTCAGGGCAACCCTTCCTTTTGCTTCCTCTAGTGAGCTCTGTCTATTAACAGAGGGTCACTTTCTCACAAGGTAGCCTACTCCTGCCTTCTAGATTCTAGCATGCAATGCTTTCTCCTCTTTGAGTTTTGGGTGATGATGCTTTTGTTGCTACTAGCTCTGGGTTGTTATATTGTTTGCAATTTTGCCCATTTGTAGGAAAATCGTCATTGAATTATCTTAATTTGAGTGTGGTGCTTGAATTTTTTTTTCTCTAACAGTGCCAGGCACAGATAATGCCATCAGCTACCCTGTAGTGTAGAGGTAACTATCATTAAAGCATTTTTCAATCCCCTGTATGTTCTTCCATGCTTCTTTTGACTCAGTCTTTCTATTAGTATAGTTAGTAGTAAGGCCAAGAGAGCAGTATCACTGGGAAACAGGTTTGGGTTAAATACATACTGGATAAAAAAATATCACTTAAAGATGCTGAGAATTGACCAGAGATACGGCAAGATCCAGACAGTTTGGTTTCTGTATATAGAAGGATTTTAATTTCAGTATTTAATCTGTTATAGAGTTATGACTATTTTGAAAGGCACTAGTAAACATTTGATGTTCTTTTATTCTATAATCAGCACTATGATATTAAAGTTTCTAATATTCCTTCTCAATTAAAAAAACTTAAATATACTTAGAACCATCATTTAATAGTTTGTAAAGCAGGACTGTCTGGGGGATAGTTAGGCTTGTTGCAGCTCTTTTTCCAGATCCTTCTCATGCATAACTTCCTTACTAGTTTGATCCCGTATTTCTACCCATAAAAATGTTAAAGGAGTAGTTCTTGAGTACGTAAGAGACTGAAACATAGAATCAACCTCTCAGAAGTCTTTCAGCATGACATTTACCAATGATTTCTAAACTACTTGACCAGCTTGTTATTGTAGCACATGCTTGACTAGATCTTGGTATTAAGTAAACCTGATATACAATTTAGGTGCCAGGCTTCATACAACTCAGACTCACACAGGAGTGGAATCCAGGATACATACAACCCTGTACATGTAGCATTCTTGGAGTTGTAGAGGTAACACCTCCACCGAGCCCTTCTTATTGGGGAAAAAGCCATGAATACTTTTTACAACAGAAAAATGCAGATTTTCAAGGCTTAAAACTTAATCATTCTCATTGTTCTCCAAGCCAGAGGTCAGAGACAAGCAGCTCAGAAGCGAAGATTAGGGCCCTCAAAAAGGATGGCTAAAGAACGAATCTCTAAGGATCTTACAAAGTGCCCTCCCCAAAGGGCAGTCAGAAGGTCTATGCTGTGGCTCAACTTGGTCCACTGCCAAGTCTGCAGCTCTTTTCCTTAAGGGTCAAAAACACACCAAAAGAGCCAATGCTCAAGTAATTAAAGGGTTTACTCAACTCAGATGCAGAGGGAAGGGAGGCTGCAGTGGAAAAGGGGCACCATTGGCAAGAGGGTTCTCTGACAATGGTGGATAGACAGAGCGCCTAGTCCCAGGGATGGAAGATAGATATCCCCTTCTCCCACAAGCAGGATATTCTGATAGTGTCAGAAGTAGACTAATGTCCCAGTTAGGAGGGCAAGAGAAGAGGGATATCAGAGGTTACCTTCTTTTGTAGCAATTTAGCAAAGTATTTTGCTGTGAGTGACTTATTCCTTCCAACTTCTTCTGCAAGCTCACTCACTTTCACAGCAGAGTAGGTTCCATGAACATGGGGCAGAAGCAACTTAAGGTGGTAAAACAGACAAGACAGAAGTTACCAGCTTAAGACGCTGGTAAAAGAATAAGTCATCTAGGAAAGGCCTAGGACAAGCAACATTGAAGTCCTCAGGAGTAAAATGTGAGACTCACCCTGTATAGGGCTAGGGTTCAGCGTGGCCATGCCATCCTAGGAGGGGAGCAACAGCCAGTTGCCAGGATGAGCTGATCTTCTCCCTAATCCCATGAGCTAGGAGTCTGAGTTCTGAAGGCATGCTTGACTGCAGGCTGTGCTTGCATTCCTGAAAATGCTGTTGTACTCAGAGGAGCTGCTTTTCAGAGATATAAAAGCTTAGTCTTGCCATGTTGACCATGTAGTTCAGGCTCCAAATGTTGCAAAAAACAATTGATATTTACCTGGAACCCTTAGCTGTTTTATGATGACAGTTTTCAGTCTCAAGGACTCCTAGGTTGCCAAGAGCTAGAAAAGACACTGCAAGAGGTATTTAATCTTGTGGGAGATGTTAGTAGTTTCTACTTTATTGGCTGATGAACAAGAATGTGTGGCTAAGTCAGGATTTAAGAAATAAGCAAGTCAACTGTATGGAAATTGCTATTTGTTAAGTAATGAGAAAAATTATTCAGAGACTAGATGAGTTAAGTAGAAGGTGCATTTCAAAAATGAAGGAGGTCAGTTTGCCTCAGACCAGGAATTTCGAAGAATTGCCACAGAGCGGTTGAAGTCTATACTTATTTTCTGTGTATTTTATCTCCTAATAAACTGTAGAAGAGGGTCATCCATAGAGTGGCTTACAGCTACTTACTACAGTGATATCTCCCAGGTCTTTTGTTCCAATACCCACTGGAAGCTATTTTTTTCTAAGGTATATAATTCTGTCACAGAAGGCATGCCCTTGCTATAACACAGATCTATATTGGGAATTAGAATACAGCATAAGCTGTGCATGACACCTTCATCATAGGCACTTCTACCACCATGGGATATGCTAGGTCGTATGGCCCAAGTAGCAGGGCCCTTTCCAACTCTGGGTATAAAGCTGGCAGCCTCTCGTGTCATCTGGTACATAAGTCAGAACATTACTCCCAAAGGTGGCATATGCTGCCTCCGGAACCTGAAGAGACATATTAGCTGTCATGCTTCCAGAGTAAAGGATGTGTCCTTTACTCTGGTGTATGTCCTGGTATGCCCCACAACTCTTGGACTCCTAAAATTTTTCTAAAGTGACAGCCCATGAGTCTGTGGATTTTGACTCTCCCCCTCTGGAGTACCTATGATATACTTGCTACTTCTTGTTCATCTGGGCCAGTTATATGATATCATTGGTATAAATAACCAATATGCTGTTCTGCAAAGGGTTCAGATGTACCAGTTGCCTTTAGACAACACTTTGAAGGTATAACAGTGAACATAGCCCTTAGACAATAGCATACATATATGCAGGAAAACTCACTATAGATGCAAATTCCAGGCCTCCATGCCTTCACTTGCAGGGCACGGCCCTCTCCTGTGACAGACTCACTTAACTAGCAAGTAATGTCCTGGATATTTGCTTTTCTCTGGTGGCAAGTTCAAGATTGTGCTATTCATAGGGGCAGTGGTAGCCATTAGTTTTTTTTACCATTAACTTATGTGCAAGCTTTAAGAATCTTTCAGGTAGCAATCAAACACATAAGCCAATATATACTTGTGCCATGTGATTTTTTTGAATTGAAACTTAGGAAGCATAAGGCTTCTCATTAGTGATTCTTAGAGCAAGTGTGCCTAAAGTTCTTACATAGGACTTGGATTAACATCCTTTGCCAGCCACTGATTCTATGATCTGAGTGACTGACTGCCAAATATTATGCTTCTTAGGTTAAAGCCATTGTCTTCCTTCTGGCAGGGGTTGGGGAAGACAAATTAGCCAGCAGGACCCTGAAGACTTAGATCAAGAAAAGTATTGAACTGAGGGATACAGGTGTCCCAGCAAGACAGACAGGACCCACATGAAGTGCTTCCAGCCACATATGCAGGCTTTGTGTGCCTATTTCAGTCAGACGTTGGAGTCCTATTTGTATGCCCACCTGGGATGAACTCTGACAGATGTTTACAACTGCCTATTCTCTGCCTACTCAGCCAGCTATTTAAGGAAAAGGCCACATGAAGGCCTTTCAGGGAGAAAGCATAGTAAGAAGTCCCAAAGCTGGTTCAACTAGAAAGATAGGGATGAATTGTGACCTCTGCTTCAAGGTGCCCCAGGACAGAAGTTCATTCCTCCATGGTGCCAGTTTTGCTTATTAATAGAGGTGCCTACCAGGTCTTCCCATTCTATATTTAGCTACCTAGGAAAGCTAAGCATTTTATCTACCTAGGAAAGCTAAGCATTTTATCTAACCTGAAAAATATTGCTAATTTCAGTTCTAAGTTATTCATTTTTACTTGATAAGTATATAGGCAGGGATAGCAGACTATACATTTGTGAAGTATAGTTTATAGAACATAGCCTACTGGAACAGAGCAAGGCAGAAGGGTAGAGAATGGACTGAGATGAAGCAGATGTGCATAAATGGAGAATAGTTGTACACTAAGAAACGTCATTGTCTTAGGATGGCTACTCATTTTCAGTGAGCACAGTCAGGGTATATTGGCAACATAAGATGTAGTTAAGGGGTCAGAGGACATTTATGAATTGTATTCAGCATCTGCATGAGAGAATCTTTATGATTGTAACATCATACGATTATGATTCAAAGTAAATGCAATTGCAGCATTTTGTCTTATATTCAAGACATGTATGGGGCTTCCAGTGGGATAAATACACCTATGTATACCCACCAGCCTATGCTTAGGATCCAGTAACTCATATGTTAATCTCACACCATGGGCATAAGTGATCCAAAATTTTAGTAAGAACTGAAAGTTTTTATAAACACATGGCAAACCATTAGATACCTAAATTTTGAAGATTAAAAATATCAATTGTTCTTCTAGCAAGGCAGAGAAAGTCATGCCAGTAAGCCTGTAAAAATCAACTTGCAGGCAAACCTGCAAGAAACAACTGAAAAAGAGGATTGCATTTACATCATAGTAACTGTTGGTAGCTCTTTAAGAGGCACCATTCAGTCTGCCACTATTGATAAAATTGATTAGTTTATTGACAAGACTACTAGAAGTCCTCAGACTGCATGGTTGAGGCCATTCTTATCCCAGAGACATGAACACTATGCTAATGACCCTGCAACTCTGCCAAAGGCAAAAATTTCTAAGAGAAAACCTGCCCTCCACTCCCTAAAATAAACAGAAACCAACCAGGACTTCAGACCACTTAAGAACAATGGTCACAGAAAGAGACCAGGTGTTAGAGCTTAAGAAGGAGCCTTGTGCATCTTGCTAAGGAAACTTCAGTCTCTGTGCTAGTATTACTCTGGCAATGGGCTGACTGCTGAAGGAACTTGACCGCAGTTTCAGCAGTGTCCTTAGAACGTAACAGGATGAGGCAAACAAGGCTGTAAGTATTCTTTATCATCATACTACAGATGTAGTCTATGGAATGGTTTGCGACTACTCTTACCTATTGACAGTGTCCTAAGTCTTAAAGACTTACTTAAATCAATAATTAATCGTCTGTATTCAAGTGACATAGCTAAGCATGGCATTTGCAGAATAAGTTTGTCATAGAGCCATGCTTTGAAAGGTGTGTTGAAGTCTTGCTTACGCATTATCTTGTAAATCTAGGTCTAAGAGTTAGAGAAAACTATATGGTTAAAAGGCTCACCTTTCATATGGTCAAAGTGTTCCTTTAAAAATTCTTTAAATACCATATGTCACTAAAGCATTTTTATATTTCTCCTACTTGAGCTAAGTATGTTATTTTCTCTTAACACCTAATGCTGGCTAGGTAGACTTTATATGTCTTAACCATAAAATGCAGAGAAAAACCTAAACAAACTCATGATGCTATACTAGTACACACCCACCAGAATAGAAGTTTTCAAGAGCTGATAATGCTGAAGATGGGTGACAGTAAGCAAAGAAGGGAAGCCTGGAGTTCTGCGCTGACTAACTTGTCCTACATTCTAACTAATACCCAGAACATCTTTGTTATTAAAGCCTGTAGGTATTATATAGGCTCTACCTCAAGACTTACATGACATTTCTCACTGATAAGGATTAAGATGCCTGAGAACCAAAGAATAACTAGACAAGAGGGCTGCATGGGTCCCAGTGGGGAAGGAGACTTTGATTGGCTTCCTTGGGGTCAGAGACAGATGGGCTGGCTCTCAAGGCAGCCACAGAGATCCTAGTTCATTTCCAGAGAAGACAAAAATAATGTCAGGCTGCTTTCTAGCCATAAGTTAAAAGCGGTCCCCCTTCAGAGAGAAAACTTATGTAAAGAAACATTATGAGAAATGTTAAAACCTGAGTAATAAAGCAGAGATTAGGCATAAGTAGCAGCAATTTTGAGATCTAAAAGAAAAGGAGAACCAGCTACATATGTCAGGCAGTCTGAGCCTTTGCAAAATAAATGAACAATTTTTAGTATGCGGAGTTTGTGCCCAACAAGTTAGATTGTCTCTATCAATACAGAGCTCAGGCCTGTGATGAAATGTGACACGTCTTTCTTCAGTAGAGATTTGTGGATTTTTATCCATAGGCATGAAAGGAACAGGTCTTCTTACTGTATCAGTAATTCTCTGGAAAACCTGTTCCTGGTTTCATCTAGATAGTACCTGGACTCAAGGTCAAGTTTGTGGCTGGCACTCATTTGTATGCAGTGATTGGGTTAAAATCCATTAAAAAAACAGTAAGTTATACACATGGCAGCTGATGTGGGAGGAAATTCAAGAGGCTTCAGCATTAACATTTTTGTTGAGAAATTGTCTTTTTGGGAGATCTGTTTTAGAGACTAATTTAAGCTTTAAAATGTAGGAGAAGGCTTTACATTACAGCTGCCCCCTATAAAAGCACTTTCTTATAACAGCTTTGAGTAGAAAAGGAGAACAAGATAAATAGCATCTAAAAAGATGAATGTAAGCAGAGATTTGGCTTAGAGAGTAAGGAAAGTAGTAATAAGAAAGTCCTTGATAACCTGGAAGATGCAGATGTGAGCAGGGAACAGGAAGCAGGATGGAATACGGGCACATTTGTCTTCTCAGCCAAAGACTCAAGTTCAACCCAGCCCCACAAGGAACAGCATTTGGATGGCAGCCCCCATGCCAGTAAGCTTAACTGTCTGAAGACAATGGATACATACCTGGGTGGAAAGTTGCCACTCACTGATCCAAAGTACTCAGAAGTACCCAAAGCCAGTATGTATGTTGTTTGCAGGTCTACCTGGCCCTTTCTCACTATCTGAATCCAGACTGTTGTAGAGTGACAGGAATACAGATGCCAGGCCACATGCTTTTCAGCCAGTGCAATCATCTACCCTTAAGTTTTTCACAACATTCACTGAAATATAGCTTTCCCAAGACAGGCAACTTTGGTTTTTCACTTACTGATACTGCCAGACGCTGTTGCCTCACAGCAAGGAAGCTAGCAGGAGATTTTGGGTAGTGGCTTTCTCTCCTTGTTGTATCTGCTTTTCTGTGATTCAGAATCAGTTGTAAGATCTTCCTTTAACTTTTTATGCCAAAACGCCCTGATAGCAAAAGTGGCTAAGCCACATGCACCTGAGATTGGTATCTGGAGGAGGACAAGCTTTTGAGACTAGCCATATGGAATATTTCCTACAGTCAAGGCTCCCCCATGCCAAGAACTACCACATACCCAGAACTACTGCACAAAGCTGACCAGATTACTAGGAAGCAAAAACATCCCTAGGAGAAAGCCATATCCTCCTAAAGATAGGTTTTTAGTCAAATTGTAGCTAACATTCCTATGTTGTGAGATTGATCCACTGGTCAAGCTTGTCTACAAATCCCTAGGATCCTGTTGACTGTAATTGGAATAAAACAATTCCTTATGAAAATTGGCCAGAGAACAAGTTTTGTTTGCTTAAAGTGAAAAGGGGAAGAAAATAAGACAGTGGCCCTAAGGAAACTTTCTATTTGACTTGGACTCCAGAGTGGAAAACAATGAATCCTCTAGTAGCCATCACCTCTATGCCAAGCCTTTCTGCCCCAACAGGAAAGCCTAAAATAGGAAACTTGCCCTATAACGAGGGCTTCCGGTCACAGCAAGTAACTCCTACCCTACTTGTATCCTTCATCCCTCTCAAGATCCCTGGTAAAGTAAGAACAAACAGTTACATTTCAGTTTGAGTTATCTGGAATTTTATGGTCTCCTTCATGCGTTAGTGTAACTTTAGAATATGACTCAGGTCAAATGTGATGGTATCATGAATATAGATAATCTGAAGACTTTGTATTTTCTGCCCAGCTCCTCAAGAGGGAGAAACCCTGCTGAAGGCTGTTACAGTGCTTTGAGTAGCCTTTGGTCAGAGGCCAGTTTCTAAGTGATTTCACATTACATAGATAAAACAATGCAATTTGTTTTTGGGATCCTGCCAGAGGCATAGAACCTACAGATTGTCCTGCTTCCTCAGTCCCACACGCTAGCCAGTCTGGTCCAACTTCTGTACTCCATTTCTTACTACTTCCATCTGAAAGATAAATATATCCTGTTTGTGTTGCAGCCCTGCTTCCTTGGTGGGATCCTCAAAGTGGGACCAAAACCTGCAGGTTCGTAAGAGTTAGATGCTGTTGGAATTAAAGCTAGTATCACTTTTTGTGGGCATCGTTCTGGCTTCTGCCCAGGAGGTGGCGGTCCTCATCTGGCCTCTGAAGGCCAATCTAGCATAGCCAACAGATTTAGGGTTACTGCAGACTCCTCCAACCCCAGTAGTTACTTAAAATCCTGAGAGCAAGGTCCTGAACACAGAACATTTTAAAGCTAGTTTGTGGGATATTAGAATACGGTTGGGATACCAAATGTGAAAGCTTAATTTATTGTTAAGACTAGGTCATATTCCATTACCAGTGAATCTCTCTATAGTTAAGGCAAAGATGTAAGTGGTTAAGTTTATTCATTCTTCCCAAGTCAATTTAGTTGAGGAAAAACTTTAAAGAGATCTCTACTTCTGGTTAAAAAAATTAGCCCAACGGACTCAAGGACATCAGAATTATCATCCCAAATCTAAGTTGAGACAGTTAAATATCCTTCCAACATTGTTGGCAGCCCCACACTGCTAAGATCTGTGAAAAGTGGAGAAATGAAGTCAATAGAAAGGATTATATAAATGACTGTTTCACATGACTGGTAGCGTGTTAGAGTTAGAAATCTGTATTTAGACACTTTTACTATTGTCTAGGGTCTGAGTGATTAACTACGAATGTGATCACAACTAGTGGCAAGAATTTTCCCAGTAATAACAAGATGAAGTGTTCAAAACCCCTTCTCTTTAGGGACATGGGGGAAGAGACCACCACCAAGCTTGAAAGTAATTCCAGGAAAAATCAGCGGAGCCCTGAGACAATAAGAAGGATAAACACAAGAGCTAGGGAACAGAAATGAAGCTGTATAGGCAAAGACTAAACATGATCCAAACAGCTCACTTGTACACCAGTGAAACCCAATGGCAAGACAAGAATATAGATAAATCTTAAGACCTTTGAAAGAAGGGGTACATTTTCTGGTATGAGAAGTATCTGGGGATAAGAAAGGATTTTTTTATCTAGTCCAATAAAAATCCTAGGGATTCTGTGTGGAGCCACTGTATGAAGATAAATATAGTAAGCCTTTCTTGTGGTAGATTTGAGGATTTCAGCAGTAGAAAATAGTACACGAAGATGCAAAGGCTTGAGGAGAGATACGGGAAAACATGCAGATAGGCATTCCTGAAGGAAGAGAGTGAAACTAAGAAGGTTTCTCTGAAATGAAAAGTCATTTGAAAGGCCTGTTTGGAAGGGCTATCCAGGTAGAATTGATAAGAGAAACACCTACACATATTCTAGAAAAAGTTTGCTGAAATCTAAGAGCAAGATTTTGTAAACTTTTGAAGTGATGTTTACAATGAAGGGTTGACTTTTAGAATCAAACGAAGCTTTAGACACAAATATGCTAACTCATTCCCTTCACTCCCTTCCCAGAAAGAAACTCTGATGTTAGTATCTCTCCCGCTCATGTACCAATTCTACATGTTTGCAGCTGTGACAAGTTGCATAGCATCACCTTCAGTTAAGTGATACCACAGAACCACAGAAGTTAGTTTTTCTCCATATTATATTTTATGCTTAATTATATTCAGTAAGAGATCCTAATCTTTGTGACTTGCATATTATGCTAAGTCTCTAGTTCTTTAATAAGCTTCATAAAGTTCATTTTCTACCACAAAAATAAAGTGGTTCTGCCTTTATATTTGTCTCATAGGCCCAATAGAAGCAAATGCAGGTATGATCTGGAGAAGCATATCTTGAATCTCAAAAAGTCAGGACAGACAACACCATAAGAAACAGCAGGGGGAAAAGAAAAAAGCAGAATCAGGCTCAGAACTACAGGTATTAAGAGATAGGAAATAGAAAGTACCAAATGTATAACTTTAGAAAAAGATACTCAAGAATGACCAGGCAGGTTTGCAATGAACCAACTCACTTCTTGAAGTAGGTCAAAGTGGTACGTAGGTATCAACTATGCAATTGCACTGTTATGTGTGCCTTAGAACATGGTTCTCATTAGTGTAGGTATAGCTGTTGGAATTAAAAAATAGTATCACTCTTTGTGGGCATCATTCTTGGGCATCTAAAGAAGTTTTAGAAGTACATGGAGGCATGCGTTGTCTTCAGAATGATATGAGCACATGCAGGCGTACCTCACTTTGTTGCATTATAGACACTGGGGTTACCAATTAAGTTTGTGACAATCCTATTTCAGGCAAGTAAATGGCACGATTTTTACAACAGCATGTGCTCATTTCATATCTATGTCACATTTTGATAATACTCACAAAATTTCAAACTTTCATTGTTATAAGTGTTACAGTGATTAGCATTCTTTGTAATAATTGTAACTGTTTTTGGGTACCATGAACTGTGCCCATATAAGAAAAACTTAATTGATAAGTTTGTTCTGACTGTTCCAGTGACTGATTATTCCCTCATATTTCTCCTCCTGCCTCCCTAATCCCTGAGACGATATTGAAATTAGGCTGACTTAATAGCCCTAACAATGACCTCTAAGTGTTCAAGTGAAAGACTGGTATGTTTTTCACTTTAAAGCCAAAGCTAGAAATGATTAGATTTAGTAAGGAAAGCATGTTAAAAGCTGATATAGGCCAGAAGTTAGGCCTTTTGCACCAAACAGTGAAGTTGTAAAGGCAAAGTTACTGAAGAAGTTTTACTCCTGTGAAGACATGAATGGTAAGAAACAAGATAGCTGTATTGCTGATAGGGAGAACATTTCAGCCTTCTGGGTTGAAGATCAAACCAGCTATGACATTCCCTTAAGCCAGAGTCAAAGCAAAGCACTTACACTATTCAAATCTACGAAGGCTGAGAGGTGAGGAAACTGCAGAAAAGTTAGAAAGTAGCAAAGGTTGAGTCCACGGAGTTTTAGGAAAGACGCTGTCTTCATAATATAAAAGTGCAAGGTAAAGCAGCAAGTTATCCAGAAGATGTAGCTAAGGTAATTGGTGAAGGTGGCTACACTAAACAGATTTTCAATGTAGAAACAGCCTTCTATTAAAACAAGATGTCATCTAGGACTTTCATAGCTAGAAGTCAATTCCTGGCTTCAAAGCTTCAAAGAACAGGCCGACTCTTGTTAGAGGTGAATGCATCTAGTGATTAAGTTGAAGCCAATGCTTATTTACCATTTAAAAAATCTTGGTGTCCTTAAGAATTATGCTAAATCTCCTCCGCCTGTGCTCTGTCAATAGAATAAAGCCTGGATGACAGCACATCTGTTTACAGCATGATTTGCTTAATATTTTAAGCTCTCTGTTGAGACCCACTGCTCAGAAAAAGATTCCTTTCAAAATATTAATGCTCACTGACAATGTGCCTGGTCACCCAAGTGCTCTGATGGAGATGTACAAGCAGGTATTTTTTTCTTGCTTGGCAACACAACATGCATTCTGCAGCCCATGGATCAATGAGTAATTTTGACTTTCAAGCCTTAGAGGGATGCATTTTGTGAAGATATAGCTGCCATTAATTTCTCTGACGGATCTGGCAAAGTACATTAAAAACGTTCTGTAAAGCATTCAACATGGCCAATTTCTTCCATTTGGAACAGGAGCATTTATCCAATACCTGTACCCCCACTGTATCTTGGAAGTGACTAACTTGCTTTTGATCTTACAGACTCTTAGGCGCAAGGGACTTGCTTTGTCTCAGATAAGACTTTGGACTTGGACTTTTGGGTTAATGCTGAAATGAGTTAAGACTCTGGGGGATTGTTGGGAAGCCATGACTTGTTTTGAAATGTAAAAAGGATGTGAGATTTGGGAGGGCCCAGAGGCAGAATGATATGGTTTGGTTCTTCTTACCCAAATCTCACCTCAAATTGTAATCCCCAAAATCCTCATGTGTTGGGGGAGGGCCCTGGTGGGAGGTGATTAGATCATGGGGGTGGTTTTCTTCATGCTATTCTCATTATAGTGAATGTGTTCTCACAAGGTCTGATGGTTCTACAAGTGTTTGACAGTTCCTTCTTCACATGTTCTCTCACCTGCCTTCGTGGGTGAGACATGCCTCTTCCCCTTCTGCCGTGATTTTAAGTTTCCTGAGGCCTCCCCAGCCATGAAGAATGGTGACTCAATTAAGCCTCTCTTCTGTATAAACTACCCAGCCTTAGGCAGTTCTTCATAGCAGTATAAAAATGAACTAGTACAGCTGTATTCTAGAACTATTTGTGAGAAAGTTATCCTCCAGTACTTGAGTTTGGATCAGTCTTACCAAGCTAATCACTAGAAGAGATGTAGAAATCTTTTATAGTTCCAAATGAGAACCAAGGGAAATTTGATTACTTGAAGAGAGTAAATGAAGATGAGATCTCCTTTTCAATGCTTTTGTAGCCAAGAACCTGTCAGGAAGAACACAAATTCTTCCTATTCAGTGCAATAAATATGGCTGACAAACTCATGTGATTTAGGAAGTGTCATTTTGGTGCTACAGATGAGACCACTGAGACTGTACTTTAACCTGCTAGAAAAATATGATGGCCCTAGAAGAGGCAAGCCAGGGCATATCTGAAGTCATTCATAAAAAAAATAGGCTGGCCAGGTGTGGTGGCTCATGCCTGTAATACCAGCACTTTGGGAGGTTGAGGTGATCAGATTACCTGAGATCAGGAATTCGAGACCAGCCTGACCAACATGATGAAACCCTGTCTCTACTAAAAATAAAAAAAATTAGCCAGATGCAGTGGCATGTGCCTGTAATCCCAGCTACTTGGGAGTCTAAGGCATGAGAATCGCTTGAATCCGAGAGGCGGAGGTTGCAGTGAGCCGAGATTGCACCACTGCATTCCAGCCTGGGCAACAGAGCGAGACTTCATCTCAAAAAGAAAAAAACATAGGCCTAAGGGGACAGTCTGAAGGAATGCTGAGTACAGGAGAGAAAGTATTACTTTAAGGAACATCTTAACTAGGATGATACCGGAGTCTTCTGACAAGTTAACCTAAGCTTCATTTTTATAAATGTGGAACTCTTCACCTTAGCTTGCTTTAGAGATTGTTAGTTTAGAGACTCAGACAGTTATTCTACAAGGAGGATAAGGAAGGAATTTCCCTGCAGAGACACACAATCTCAGAACTGTGCCGTAGTCTGTCTTCTCCCAAACCCTCCTTTCCTCTCATTCTACAAATGTCAGATCTGCATCATGGTCAGAGGCTCTCCCTACCTACTGTTTCCCCTCATTTTTTCCAATTAAAGAAATTCCCCCAGTAGATTTTTTATCTGATTGCATCTTGGCATCTGATTCTTGGAGGACTCAAACTAGTGCACTAGCTAATACGTTGTCACTGATAGACAGAGACAGGGATCATCCTTCTAAGCCTCCTGCTCCTACCTGCCAATTGCCAGTGTGACTAGAGTAGAAGGAATCCCTGAAGAGTTATATTCAAAAGGAATATTGATTTATTGCAAATGAGTTTTATATATCCATTGAGTTAAAGCTTTATTTCTGCTCTTAAGAGTGAAACATTTAAAATAAGTTACTATAAAATATTATTGGCCGAACACTGATCTGTGGAGAGGCTGTCTACATTCTTTGAGAAAGTGGAAGCTACTGCAATAGCCTTAAGGAACTTTTCAGAGAATCCCTTTGACCTTCGAGTTGGAAGCTTGTTTGATTAGATCAAGGGCCAGCAAACTAAGACCTATGAGTCAAAACTGACCTGAAGACTGTTTTTGTACAGCCCAGCAAGCTAAGAATGATTTTTAAGAGGTTGTAAAATAAGAGGAGAAGAGAAGACTTTTGTGACCCCAAAGCGTTTTATTTATATATATATATATATATATATATATATATATATATATATATACCATCTTGCCCTGTTGCACCAAAAGCTTTCTGACTCCTGAATTACAGTCATCGATTCCAAGATGAGAGATAAGGTAGAGCTGCCCAAGTCCTCCTTAGTACCACTAGAAGATGCTTCATATATGGAGACTAGCTAGCAGTAATGCTTCACTGGGTTTTCCACCCCGGTATTTCAGTCTGCTAGCCATGGTTCATGATAGCTGAATGAAATCAAGTAGGTCATGCTCAGCATTTAACAGCATGATAGAATTTTAGTGTCCTTCATACTAAGTGTAAGCTGTTTCACAAAGCTTGTTTCAGTTATAAACATAGGTGTATGTGTTCCAAGTCATGCTATAAGTTACTTATAAATACTGGTTGCAGTCAAGTGTTTGAAAGCTACTGTTAATTTATTGCTAGATTCTTACACTTATCAGCAAGGTTAATGCCTAGCTAGTACTCGTCCTAAGCCAGGTACTACATAGGGAATATACATGCATCCCTTTCAATCTTTAAGTTATTCCAGTTTTACAGATGATGTCAAGGTCCAGGGATTAAGCAAGTTCTCAGATTAATACAGCTAAGTAAACAGACTAGCTAACATCAACCCAAGTCTAATGCCAAAGTCATACTTTTCACAAGAACACTTCTTCCTGACAAATTAAAATGACTCAGTTACAACTGGAGGAACTGAATAAATAGAAGGTATTCCAAGTTTTTCTTGGAAAAAGGGGTCCCTTGCAGGGTACTTTTATAATATGAAGGAAAGGTCAACTGAGAAGACTTGAGATAGTACACGTCAACTACAATAGCGTATGTCTAGTATAACCCCAGAAGGAGGAGGTTAAAGTCCCAAATGAGGTAAAGCCATTTGGGTAGTATGTTTTCATCAAAGTCATGGCTTTTGTCATGGCTGGAGTCTTCAAATGTAGAAATCCTGCCCTTGAGAGATAAGGCTGAATTCACTAGAGGCTGAAGTTTCAAATCACATTTCAGTAGGTAAATGAACTATATGAGAAGCTATTTTGTGCTAGGCTGTGTATCAGTTTTCATATGTTCCCATTTGGCTTTCAGACACCTTCAGAGGGCAGTGTTCCATTTTATTGAGGGAGATCTGAAGAGATGAAGTGACTTGCCAGAGCACAGGTCCAGTAAGTGTCAGGTTTCAAGTTCTTTGAGTTGAGATTCAGTCATTTGAAAGCCATTTATCTAGTGGAATAACACCCTGGGTTTTTTTTTTTTGTTTTTTTTCTAATGGAGTTTGTGTGTCCGTTCAGTAGGAAATGGAATGGAATTAAACCACGTTCTAAATAAAAGCCAGTGCTTTTACTGTAGGAATAGTCATTCTTCACTTTAACTCATGACTCAAGCTTTCTTTGAAAAAAAGTTTACTCAGATAAACACGAGTTTCATAGAAGTCAGTTATTCTACCAGTAAACTCAAACCTTGTGCTCACATTTAATCAACATTGTATTACAGGTATCATCATCTCTACCTTTTGTGAGTGTTTAGCCCCTCATCGGTCTTGGTTTACTTCTGCTAGTGTTAAAATTTTATGTCTGGTACTGTACAATATTGCTGATACTATACAAGCTTAACATAAATTAGTGGACAAGCTAGTGTATAGATGTTTTAACTGCATTGTCATAGAAATCCTTGGTGCATTGTTATATAGATGTTTATGGGTACTTTAGCAATATTTGAAGAAATTGAGGTTTTAGACAGGCTGTTTTTCCCCATTTAGGATAAGCTAATCCTTCTATCCAAGTGTGTCCTATCCAAAATGTTTTCAGGAAAGGATTAATCTTTGATAAAAATTAGATGAAATTAAATATGCACTTTATTGTATCTCAGGCAAAACTAAATAAGAGACATAATGAAGGAGTCAGATGCTTGTCCTTGTGTGGAGAGACACCAGGTGATGACTACAGACACGGACCAAGCCAGGTGCACTGAAGTGGCCATAAATACCTAGTGGCATTGTCTTTAATATGCCTTTACAAAATAGGTATACTTTGTTTTCAGAACTTTATCAAAAGTCAGCCTTATTCTGAGGTGATGCATTCTTGGAAACTATTAACCAGTATAAAAGTTCCAAGATCAGATTTAATTATTTTTTAATCTGCACATAAGTTATTCACTGTGTTGGGCTGTCAGAGACTTAACATTCCGGAGCTTTGGAGCCCTGCCCACTGGTTGCCAGTGGTGACAGCCTGCAATAGTTGTGACAACTAAAACTGCCCTCATGAGTTTTTAAAGCAACCTGGGTGGGTGGTGACACTCTGTCTTAGGAGTTGTTGCATTATACTGTCCATCACCATTGAGAGCTGATCTCATGGTCCACAACTTCAGAGGGGATTGAAATACCAGAGTCAGAGTTGACAGACAACACTAGCAGGTTCCTCACTACCACCCTGTGGTTGAGATACATAAGGAATAACTACATAACTCATGAGCTTCCAGAGGCTGATATGCCTCTGACATGTAGAATATAGGTTAGTCAAGAAGTGGCTTCAGACTCAGATTTCATGGGCCTAAGTCGCAGCAATGTGAGAATAGGTTATTTGCTTATCCTGTTCAAATTACTCATCTGTCAAGGGGGTATATTTTAATAGCAAGTATCATGGGTTTACAAGATACCGTATAAAGCACCTAATAGTGCTTGGCACAAAGAACACAAATGTTACATGCTATGAAGTTATTCTTCTCTAAGCTTTTGTTACCAAGTTAGGGAACTTGTATATTAGGAAAATATAAGTGTTGTCCAATAACTAATACCACAGGGAACTCAAGTTCTGACAAGAGGATTCATTTATCAAAATCTAGATTTGTAGACCCCTTGACAGAGTCCAAAACTGCATTTAGGTAAAGGGAGATCCACAGGTATATGCTCATTGCTCTAAGCCTATTTTCAAGGTTGTAAGCTTGCTTGGTTATTTCTAAAAGTCCTATGTTGCTAAGAAACAATTACTGTTATGACTAGACAATACTTTAGCTCTTTATTTTAAAAATCAAGTCTTGGTATTAATGAAGGAAAGCCTGAACATTTCCATGTCTCTTCCACTAAGTTTAAGATAAGCTCATTATTGATCAAAACCAAGTTAAACTTCTAAAGGTAAAGGCATCTGTTTTACATTATCTTTTATGACTTGGAATATTTGACTGGTATTTCTATTGTGGTATAAATGTTTGAAGAGCAAGGTCCCTGGTTTTCTGCTTCCCAGAACTATTAAGAACACCAATTGCAATCACTGTCAGTCCTTGGGGGACAATTTGCATGTGAACAACTGATTAGTCAGCTTGTCTGTTCATTTTTACATGAACTGCATGTCAGACAATGCCTCATATCCTATCAGAGGCCTTCCATTTCCATTTTGGGAGTTTAAAGAATTTGGTATCCCAGATTAATCTGCCTTTTGAGCATGAAAACAGTGGGTAATATTTTCCATTCCTTTCATTGGTGAGCCAAAAACTCAAGGTGCAAGTGGAATTCGATCTTTAAGACTCTTTCTACCACACTTCGTGCAAGTCTTCCCTCTCCTGGCTCCAAGAGGTAAGAATTTGAATTATAAGAGTCTATTCTCTTGACACTTAAGTCTCTCCAGCTTTCCAGACTTAATGGACTATTTAATACTCCCAGCATCACTTATGCATCTTCCTAGAGTGCCTTTCCCTAATTTGGGCTTGTTAGTGGTATTTGTCCAAGAGGAAGTCAAGTCAAATGGTAGCCTCTAAGAGGAATCTTCACCAAATACAATCCAAAATTAAAACTTAAGAACTAGTCTTCGCTGCTGTGCAGTATGACCTCTTATGCAAACCTTAAATCATTTTACCCTGTATGGATAGAGCTGATAAAGGCTTGACTTTTACCTGACTATCCAACAAGCTTTCCCATTCCCCTCCTCCCACAACGGAGCCTGCGTCTTTTAGTAAATACCTGCAAAATTTCTAAGATAATCCTATTTTGTAAACAAACTGAACAAGTAGTAACCAAACATGATCAGATGAAGACAAAATAAATAGATGGCTAGTTTAATGACATGGTTTGCCATGTTTGTTAGAAGAAGAACAAAAATGGGTTTGGAGCTTGTGATGGTAAATATTGTCAACTTGATTGAAGGATGCAAAGTATTGTTCCCATATGTGTCTGTGAAGGTGTTGCCAAAGGAGATTACCATCTGAGTCAGTGGACTGGGAGAGACAGACCCACCCTCAGTCTGGGTGGGTACCATCTAATCAGCTACCCACACGGCTAGAATAAAGCAGGCAGAAGAAAGTGATCAACAGACTTGCTGAGTCTTCTGGCCTTCATCTTTCTCCCGTGCTGGATGCTTCCTGCCCCTGAACGTCAGACTCCAAGTTCTTCAGATTATGGACACTTGGACTTACACCAGTGGTTCACCAGGGGCTCTCGAGCCTTTGGCCACAGACTGAGGTTTGTACTGTTGGCTTCCCTACTTTTGAGGTACTAGGACTCAGACTGGCTTCCTTGCTCCTCAGCTTCCAGATGGCCTATTACGGGACTTCACCTTGTGATCTTGTGAGTCAATACTTCTTAAGACTCCCCCTCATATATACATCTATCCTATTAGTTCTGTCCTTCTAGAGAACCCTGACTAATACAGAGCAAGGCCCTTGCTATTCATGATGGAGAATTGTATTCAAGAAGTTGCTGTCATGTTGCTGAGACAGAGCTTGACCAGAGAGCTCCAAGTGCCCATGAGTCTAGAACTGTCCATTACAAACTCAGTTCTGTCAGACTTGCTAAGTTAATTCATAAACTCAAATAGGCCTGACAACAGTTCATTTAACATACAAGTAAAACAGCTGGGAACAAACCTGAACATAACCAGATTAAAATGGTATTGTATTAGTCAGTTTTCACACTGCTATAATGAAATAACCAAGGCTGGGTAATTTATAAAAGAGCCTTTATTGACTCAGTTCCACATGGCTGGGGAGGGAGGCCTCAGGAAACTTACAATCATGGCAAAAAGCAAAGGGGAAGCAAGAACCTTCTTCTCATGGTGCCAAGAGAGAGAAATGCAAGCAGGAGAAATGCCAGACACTTATAAAACCATCAGATATCATCAGAACTCACTATCATGAGAACAGCATGGGAGAAACTGCCCACATGATCCAATCACCTCCCTCCCTCCACACATGGAGATTACAGATCTCTCCCTTGACATGTGAGGATTACAATTCGAGATTTGGGTGGGGACACAGAGCTAAACCATCAGGTATATATCTGATATATATACGCACAGCTGATAGACTAAAGATAATGTATATATACAAGTCTATTTAACATGTTTTTTGTAGACAACATAGAGTCGGGTCTTGTTTGACATTGACAATTGGTGTATTTAGACCATCAATGTTTAAGATTGATATAGTTGGATTGATTCCTTTTAGTTGCCCTTGGTCTTTTTTGTCTTCTACTCTGCTTTCTCTGGTTTTAACTGAGCATTCTGTATAATTGCCTTTTTTCTCCTCTTAGTATATCAATTACACTTTGCTGGTTGCTTTTGAGACTGCAGTGTACATTTACAGCTAATATAAGCTCTCTTTCACATAAGACCATCTCACTTCTTAGTGCAATTACCTTATCACAATATACTCCTAATTCCTCCCTCCTGAACCTTAACATTTGTCTTTCATTTCCTTTATCCATAAATTGTAATCAAGTGTATTGTTGCTATTTTGAACAAGCCAGATCCATTAAGAAAATAGGTTTTACCTTAACTTATTCCTCTGCTAATGTTCTTTATGTAGATCTGAGTTTGACCTGTATCATTTTCCTTCTGAAGAGTTTAGCATTTCTTGCAAGGTAGGTTTACTGGCAACAAATTCCCTTAATGTTTGGCTCAGTGTTTCTCCACTTTTGAGGGAGAAAGTCAGTGGATAAGAGTTCTCCAGGTTGGTGGTTCCCCTGAACCCCCCGCAAACTAATATCTCACTCCACTCTTGCTTGCATGATTTCTGAACTCCAATGTAATTATTCTTCTCTTTCTCTACAGGCATGGTTTTAAGTTTCTAGTCTTAGTTCCAATGTATTTGCCATGAAAGTCTAGTTCTGATATTTGCTCTACCTTCTCAAACTGTATTTTTGTCTTTTAGCACATTTTGGAAAAAATTATTGGAAGGTGGACATTATATACTGGGTAAAATGAATTGATGTAAATAGGTTTTGTGTTTGGCTCGTTTGCTGCTTGCCGTAGCTGTGTCAGAGGCTAGGCTTTCCCCTTTAGGGTATTGGTTTCTGTTGCTCATTGTCTCTGGAGTTTAGAGATTTCTTGAATGAGGCCTGAGATGTGCAGTTTTTTCTATTGCATTTCCCTGCCCCTGCACAGGAGAACTAACTTGGTAGTGAAGTGTTAGGGGAGAGGAGGTATCCTAGAGTCCTCAGTCTTTGTGAGGTCTCAGTCTTTTGGTGAGCCTATTTGCCTGGGTTGTGATCTTCACAAATGCTTCTCAGTTTTTTTTTTCTTCCTTTCCTCCAACTTGAGACAAGATAGCTGGAGCATGATGCAGCTGAGCTTTTCCTTTCCCCCTAGTCAGTTAGGCTCTGATAAAACACCAGTAGTTTAGGTTGTAGCAAAATAACTTCTTTGAGGAAGAAGAATAGAATGCTCTGGTGTGTTTTAAAATGGTTACTTTTCCCCTCCTCTACCAGAAGCAGGAGGGGATTTTCCCCCTTATCTTCACTATGAGAAGTTGGTAGGGCTCCTAGAAGTAAAACTCACAAGAGTGTGCCCCCTACTTCCCAAGAAAGAGTTTAACTCTCAAACTTGCCCACACTAAACCTCCAGCAATTCAGTTACAGTACAGGTTTCCTACCTCAGTGCTTGGTCCTGCAAAGGCTTCTGCTAGTAGGTTTCTGACTTGGTAAGTTATCCTCTGTATCTGCTTTTCTGTCTCTCCAATTCTGGAGAGAGCAACTTGTCCCATGACCTCAATTCTGATGGCTCCAGGAAGTACTGATTTTTTTTTTTTTGAGACGGAGTCTCACTCTGTCGCCCAGGCTGGAGTGCAGTGGCGTGATCTCGGCTTACTGCAAGCTCTGCCTCCCAGGGTCACGCCATTTTCCTGCCTCAGCCTCCTGAGTAGCTGGGACTACAGGCGCCCGCCACTGCACCCGGCTAATTTTTTTTTTTTTTGTATTTTTAGTAGAGATGGTGTTTCACCATGTTAGCCAGGATGGTCTCTATCTCCTGACCTCATGATCCTCCCGCCCTGGCCTACCAAAGTGCTGGGATTACAGGCATGAGCCACCGCGCCCAGCCAAGGAAGTATTGATTTTTAATGTGTTCAGCTTTTTCTAGTTGCAGGGATAGGAGTGACAAGCTCTTCAGACATTAGGCCCCAAACCAGAAGCCTCCTACCACACACATTTTTAGGCAGCTCTTCCATCCAGGATAGGGTACGACGTATCCACAAGAGTCAGAATGTGTCATAGGTAGCTTATTTAACACCTTTCACTAAGATGTGTTGCATTACAAAGCCTTCCAGTACAAAATTATCCTTGTTCTTGGAAAGAAATGGATTATGGGTTTAACAACAAAAATCCTGCTCACCTCATACCTCTGTTTTGGGGCAGCCACCTTCCTACTCAGAACAGGATATCCTTTTTGGTTTGAAAAAATATTTTCCTCTATATCCCAAGAGACTATAAATTCTAACAGTGAGAAAAATCACAGTCCAGTAGCTCTGGCCGTAATTATGGCTTCTCAAGGGGGAACACGACCATTACATGGCATTTGACAATGAGAAGTTGCCAAATGCTTTCCCTGTGCATGGTTATTGGCAATGTCTTTTTGACTTAGCGCAGGTAAATTGTGTTTAGTCACCTGTAGAGAAATGGTTCTCCTGAGAGTCAGGCACAGCAGCATGGTGAGGCTGTGCCTCTGAAGCTGCTAGGCCAATGGGAGGAAGAAAAGGGGGAGCAGGCACTCATTTGGCCTGGACCTCAGGTTTAGACACTTAGTGGTTTCCTGCCATTTGAATGGCCTCACCATATCAGGTGTCAGCTGAGGCGTTGCATGAGGATTGAATGTTTTTTTTAGAATTATTTCAAAGAAGAGGCCCAAAGCCACATGAGGATGTTGAGGGTATGTCCTCATGTTACTATCTTGACTTTGCCACTGCTGGAGAAACTGCTAAAACCAGATTGTGTACCTGACATCTCAATAGGTCTGCCACTCCACCACTCTCGCTGAATAGAAAGGGGCTCTTTAATTGCTTTCCCAAGTTCAGCTTGGTAGGGAAGCTTTGACAGGTATGCAGGAACAGAGGTAGGCAATAGCTGCTTGTAGGTTCTGGAACATGGGAAGTTTGTCCATTTTGTATGGTCTTTGTAACTTGAGGCAGTTACTAGATTCCTTAACCTTCTATTAGTGTAACACAAGTAGTTATCAAGTTCTTTTATAGAGATGGGGTCTTGCTGTTACCCAGGCTGCAGTGCAGTGACACAGTCATAGCTCACTGCAGCCTCAAACTCCTGGGCTTAAGGGATCCTCTAGCCTCAGACTCCTGAGTATCTGGGACTTCAGGCATGTGCCACCACACCTGGCTTGCATTGTCTTCTATAGATCTGTTCCAGGCCGTTTTAACCCATATGCTGTCTGCAGGCATCAGCATTTACAACAAAAACTCTGGGGGCTGCCCTTAAGTAATTACCATTTACCCTTCTCTGCTACTTTCAAACTAATTTGGCGTTAGAACTTCAAAGCCACTGAGATGAATAGACAGTTTTGGGCGTTTACTGATGCAAGGTAGTGGCAGCAAAAGGCAAAGGGTTCCCTTCCATAACAGACAGATTAGCTTGGTTAGTAGACACTGCCATATAAGATTGTACTGCACAAATAGGTGCTTTATAGACACTTAAGACAACCCCTGTGATAATGTTGTGTGTCACCTTAACTGGACCATGAGCTGCCCAGGTATTTTGTCAAACATTCTGGGTACTTGGGTGTTCAAAATAAAGCCTGGGGTGTTTCCAGATGAGATTAAATCTTCAGTTGGTAGGCTGGGCGCAGTGGCTTATGCCTGTACTCCCAGCTCTTTGGAGTGCTGAGGTGGGCGGACCACAAGGTCAGAAGATCGAGACCATCCTGGCTAACACGGTGAAAACCCTGTCTCTACTAAAAATATGAAAAATTAGCCGGGCGTGGTGGTAGACCGAAAGATACAGATTGCCCTCTCCAATGTGATGGACCTCATCTAATCAGTTGAGGGTCTGAATAGAAAATAAAAGGCTGACTCTTGCCTGACTTCCTTCAAAGTGGGACGTCAGCCCTTTTTCTGCCCTCTACTCCAACTGAAACTTCAGCTCTTACAGGATCTTAAGCCTGCTGGCCTTGAGACAAGCACTACTCCATTGCATCTCCTGGTTCTCAGGCCTGCAGACTTGGACTGGAACTAGACCATCAGCTCTCCTGGGAGTCCAGCTTGCCAACTGCAGATCTTGGGACTTCCTAGCCTCTATAGTTGTATGAACCAGTTTCTTGTGATGAATCTCTCTATACACATCCTGTTGGTTCTCTTTCTCTAGAGAATCCTGACTAATATGACCTCCAAAGTGGTGGTTTTCTTGTTTTATAGATGAAAAATAATTTGAGATTAACCAAGAGTAGCACTTAGATTTGCACTGAGATGACTTCAAATCTCATGCTTATCATATTCATACACTTCAGTGACCACAGAAAAGCCAAGCAACCACTTTGCAACTAGACACCAAATTGTAAGCAGAGTACCAGAGAGAAGAGGCAGAAAAAGCTTTACAAGCAGGGATAATAGCCTGACCTGAAGCACAGGATTTAGAGTCTACCATGTATTCAGGGCAACATGACTAGCTCTGAGGCTGGAGCCAACTACAATGAAAATAAAGTTGACTCAAGGTTCTAAAAACAGATGAAAGCATTTTTCTACCAGAAGGTGAAGATAGCTTTTAGCACTGAGCTTTAAAAATGGGTGCCAAATTGCACCCCACACTTCAAGCCTCCTTCCTACACATGTTTATTCTTACTTTCCACCTAGTCTGTGCCCAGGTAAATTCTACCCAGCCTCTGCAAACCCAATTGACAGCTTACTTCTTCAAGGGCATTTTAACCCCAACTTTTTATCAAGTTCTTTTCATATGATCAAGAGCTAATGTGTACACAGTTCATAGGATCTTTTCTCTTGGAATAGGGACTTGTTTGTGGGAAGCACCCTGGGAAATACTCAGCTCTGGGCATTTAAAATATCTAAGATGATTAAGAACTTCAGGCGACTTTCTAGGTGCTGTCATCAAGTAGCAATATTTGAGCTTTGAATATTCAGTTATTGTGCCTGTATTATAAGAGATAAGTTAACCCAAATGTTTTCCAAAGTCCTTGTAAAACTAAGGACCAAACTGAATTTGGGAAAGTAATTCAAGAGTCTCCCCTCTCCCCAGACAAAGAGGTTTACTTGTTGTTACTATAGCCCAGATGTCCCTTATTTGCCAAATAACCACCTCCGTGCAATTCATCTGCTTGCCCTAAAACCTTTATATGGGTGATAAGAAAAATGACTCAGATTTCCACAGAGGTCCATAAACTTGTTATAAGTCTTACAACACCTCATGTCATGACAAGCAATTCAGTCCTTCTTAAATAGTTTTACCAGCTGGTTGCCCTAACTCTGAGTGGCAGAAATAAATCACTGGAGGAACTCATGGCCACAGGCTATAGAAACTTGAGTCTGTGCAAAGTGGAGAGGCAGAGTCAAAAAGGGAAACGACCTCTATCTAAGAGGTTTCTGACACTAGATATTAAGACTATTGGAAGGCTTTATCTTTGACTTATGCTCATTTGCCTTAAGATTTTAAATTCATAAACTACCATTTTTCATGCGGATTAGAGAAACGTTCCTGACAAGACTACAGATCATGGACTGCTGGACTCAATGTTTCAGTTAGGCTTGAGTGCTTGTCTGGAGTCACAGCTCGAGATAAACTCACTTAGCCCTCTCACCGAGGGGGTGGCTTAAGGAACTGCAGCACCTTACAAGGAACACCCTTGTTAGTCAGCTGAGGTAGTGACTGCTGGAAAGAGTTACAACCTCAGAGGCCATGTACTTTAGGTCCTTAATTATATGGGATGGAATTAAGGTGCCTGAACTTTCATAATCAGAGATTTAGGGTAAATGATGGGAAAGTTGAAAAAAGTTTGCTCTTAACATTTGTTTCATATTGGTGGAAGCAGCCTGTATCCGTGGTTATCAGATTAACATGCCTAACACCAAATGCTTATTTAATGATTGAGTGACTTGCTGGTCAAGGGTCTCTATTCAGGCAGCATGGCTTATGCTAAACTTAGATTATCCAAACTAAACCTGAATTTGGAAACTTTGCATGGTATTTGGATAGTTATTTCACGTCCAACTCTCAGTATCTTCATTTGTAAGACATAGTGAAATTAAGGAATAGCAGACTGCCTGTCAGAGGTGCCGAACCATTTCTCTTCCCCATCCATGAAAGTCGTCAGGTGAACCTCATCTGTTCCCTTCCATTCAGCTGGTACTTGGCCATTAACTACTATTGAGTACAAATGGACTGGAGTGAATGTTAGCATCAGCCTAGCATTTTATCTAGCCAAGACTTCAGCACATTTGAGTAGTAAAACCCCAAAGTAATATGGTTTAATCACAGTTCAACTTGAGCTCTCGTTTGCTCCATATATGAAAAACCCTGACCCAGAAGAATAGAATGCTCCAAAGAAGTGCCCAAGCCCTGACCTTGAGTTTGCTTTGAGAAACCCTGGTATAAGACAGCAGAGATATTACACAGATGCATGTAGTCAGAAGCAGCTTTCCTATGTGAAGGAACAGCTCAGCCCTACCTCGAGCCTCTTGTAAGCCGGGGGAAGCTTCTCTTTTTGTCTTCTGATCACAGGGATCATCAGCAGCTGCCATGATAGACAGCATAGGTTCTCATAGTAAAGACTGAGTGAGAGCTGAGAGATGGACCCCGTTTAGAGAACTGGGAAGGAGCTCTCGCAAGCAAGCTTCCACCTCCCTTAAAGCAGGCTAGGAGAAGTACAGATAAAAATGAAGAAGGAAATATCTCAGATCTGTGCAGTCTCCTAGTGCTTGTCAGAACTGCATACTTGGAATTATGGTAGAGATGAGGTAAAGAACCAATTCTCCTAAAGAAGTGAGAATATAACACCCCCAACTCTTTTTTTTTCGAAGAAGTCAGAGTCAGAATCTTACTAATTTTAACAAAAGTTAACAAGACAGTTTTCCATGTCCTGGAGGAAGGACTAGAGAATGAGAGTTCCGCTGAAATAAAAAGAATTCAAATACCATCTTACTTCTTTCCCATTTCTCTTTCTCCCCCAGCACCATCCTATTACAAATCTGCCAGCCTACAGACTAGTAAAACGCGCTGACCCAAGAGAAAGCAAAAAGCGGCCCCTTTCCCCGGCTCCAGCGCTGCTCGGCCAGGCTTCACTTTTAAAGGCGAGCATCATTGGTTCATGCGCCACAGGAAATGGAGCCATCACAGGACGGGCCAAAGACACCTGTCTTCTCATCCCTCTTCTCACTTTTCACTTCAAAGGCACGCACCTCATCAGGGAAGAAAAAGGAAAGCTGAGAGGAACTGAGACAGCAGTTTTAGGTGATGGGTTAATTATGCACAGTTGTGCCTTCCTCTCTCCTTTCTCAATCTTCGCCCCAAGTCCTGCCTCCAGGTTTATGCTGCAGAGTGTCCGTGGAAGGGTGGCTCTTACATGGTAGCTCTGAAAAGCTTGACATTATTTTACTAAGTGAATGCAAGAATTCTCATGTGGGCATCTCCACTCATGGATAGGATTGCCAGATTTAGCAAATAAAAGTACAATGAAATATCCAATTACACTTGAATTTCAGATAATCAACAAATACTTCTTTTTCGTACAGTTATGCCCTGTTTAACCTCTACTGTTCCACTAGGGATATACTTGTATTGCGCACTTACCTGTTGTTTATATAAAATTCAAATTTAACCAGGCATCCCACTCATGGGGCCCCAGACCAAACGGAAGCCCCCTCCCTACCCCTAGCCAAATGCTGGTTGAGTTTTTTGGGATGATAATGAGGAAAATAAGGCCAGAAGACCCACATTGCCCCTCATCTATAGCACCTGAAACTTGGAACCACCCAACAGATCCAGTTCTGCCCTGCCCTGAAGAGAGTTGCCTTCATTTTCAGCAGAGTCTAGAGAGTAATTTAAAGTTTGAATTGGCCCCTGGAGGAAGAACATTGTGTTAAACTTCCTATGTGACTTGAAATAAATTTCGTTTTCTCTGTGGGTGTTAATTTCCCCAATTGTTAAATGACTCAAGGAATTCAATAATGATGGCTACTAGTCACTGAGCCAGGACTTCCTGCTCCTTATTTCTAATTCTTTCAACAATGCTGCTAGTTAGGCATTATGACACTTATTTTACAGATTCACATTTTACAGAACTTAGAGAAACAATGGTCCCACAGGTAGAGCTAGGTCAGGTTTGAACTCTGATCCATTTGATTACAAATCCTGGTATCTTTTCAGTTCTTTATACTCCTCTAAGTTTTTCTGGGCTGTCCATTCATGTTTGTTAGATTGCTGGTTGGTTTGTTGTTCAGAATTAGGTAATTCAGGCACATGATACAAAACTAAAAGGGTACAATAGAGAAAAAGACTCCTTCCATTGCTTGTCTCCCATTCACTGAACTTTTCTCCCTAGACACAATCAGCCAGTTAATAGTTTTCAGACAGTCTGTTCATTTTCTTTTCCGCACAAGGTGGCCTTCTATGAAAATTTTTCTACATTTCCCTTTTTTCACCTCATATATGCTGGAGAATTACCATTTCAGTAAACACAGAAGTGTCCCATTCTTTTAATGGTTGTGTGTTATTCTGTTGCATGGATGCACTATAATTTATTTTTCCAGTGCTTTATAGAATTCTACTTAGGTTTTTATTCCTCTTTTGTAATTTTTACAAACAATGCTATAATAAATATCTTTCTACATTTTTTTTTGGTATATGTGTTACCTGTGGGATACATATTTAGAAATGGAACCGCTTACTCAAAAGATACATACTTTAATACATTTTTAGAGATACTACTAAACTGCCTTCCATAGAGATTGGGGCAATAATTTATACTCCTCTCAACAACATATAAGACTAGTTGTGGGCTCACAGTGTTCATTGCTTATCAGATTGGCATGTTTGTGATCTCTGCCCATCTGATAGGTAAAAAAAGGTGTCTCATCGTTGTTTCAATTTGCACTTATTCTAAATGCAGCTGGGGGCCTTTTCATGAGGTTGAGACTTTTTTATTTCTGTTTTTGAAACTATCCATCTGGATGGTCCAGGTCTTAGGAATAAAGATGACACATGGGTATATTCTCATGTTCTTTTGGTAAAATATGCCAAGTTGTTAGAACTTTTCCTATTAACTTGTAGAGCACATCATCTCAGAAAAATTGTCCCTTTGCCCATGATTTGAGTTTCAAATATTTGTCTTTTAACTTTGTGTATTGTGATTTTTCTAACTCAAAGTGTTTTATTTTTATATAGTCATATCTATGGCTTCAGAATTTTAAGTCAAACTTAGATTTTTCCTAGTTCAACTTTCTAAAACACATTCTCCAATTTGTTTTTTCCTGCAGTTTCGTATTTAAAGTATTTAAATATTCTGATCTATCAGAAATTTGGCGTCTGCATCTCAAATAGTGTTTTCCACATCTATAATTTTCTATTGAGTTTTTGTAGTAGATTGTTTTATTGTCTCAAGTTATTTGACCCCTGGTCTCTATAAGATGATTTTACATCTTAAAGTGTTGCCAGTGAACTGCAGTGCCTCTCACCCAGGGAAGGAGTCTATACCCATCCCCATTGATGTGTGCTTAAAAATGATCACTAATTTTTTTTTTTCTTCCCCGAAACGGAGTCTTGCTCTGTCGCCCAGGCTGGAGTGCAGGGGCACGATCTCGGCCCACTGCAAGCTCCGCCTCCCGGGTTCACACCATTCTCCTGCCTCAGCCTCCCAAGTAGCTGGGACTACAGGCAACCACCACCATGCCTGGCTAATTTTTTTGTATTTTTAGTAGAGATAGGGTTTCACGGTGTTAACCAGGATGGTCTCGATCTCCTGACTTCCTGATCCGCCCACCTCAGCCTCCCAAAGTGCTGGGATTACAGGCGTGAGCCACCGCACCTGGCCACTAATGTTTTTACAAATTAATGTATTTCACACTTAAGTTTTGCTTTAATGGGCATCATGTGTTTCTACCAAGTCTTTTGTTTTCATTAATTTTCATAAGGATGGCGTGTCCCAGATAAAGGCTGTTTCTTCAGTCTAGGCCCAGCAGATTCAAAGCCACCAAGAAGTAATGTGAGTGAGAAATAAATGTTTTCTATTATAAACTACTGAGACTTTGGGATTTTTGCTTTTTCAAAGCTGACTAGTTAATAGTGTTAATTGTATCTCTGTTTTTTACCCTCGTATCATGAAGTATAACATATCTAAAAAAGGACACAAATGTTCCCTGCCATACATTATCATTAGGTTAAATCCTATGTGATGTGATCATCAGCATCCAGGTCTGAAGTCAAAATATTGCCAGCCCTCAGAAATAGGATCGGACCCCTTCCTCACAGCTATGAGTTGAGTTGTGTCCCCGCAAATTCATATGTGGAAGTCATAACCCACAGTACTTCAGAATGTGACCATATCTGGAGATAAGGTCTTTAAGAGGCAATTCAGTTAAAATGAGCTCATTAGGGTGGGCTTTCCTCCAGTATGCCTAATATTCTTAGAAGAAGATGAAATTAGGACACATACATGTACAGAGGGAAGAGCATGTGAATATAGAGGGAGAACACAGGTATTTACCAGCCAAGGAGAGAGGCCTCAAAAGAAACCAACCAGGTCAACAACCTTGACCTCAAACTTCTAGCCTCCAGAATTGTGAGAAAACACATTTCTGTTGTTTAAGTCACCCAAAGCGGTACTTTGTTGTGACAGCCCTAGCAAATTAATACACTTATTATAGTGGTTTCCTCCCCACACAGTAGTGATAACCTCTGTACTTTCCTCCAACGTTATAGTTTATGTTGTGTGTTTTTCAAACTGCGTAGGTCAAAACCGCATTTGTGTGTGTGTGCTCATGTGTCTGTTTGGCTTCCTGTGCTCAAGATTACGTTTGTGAGATTTATCTATTTCTTTGCTATAAACATGTTCTAAAACATATATAAACATATGCTGAAATAATGTATTAACCAATTCTCCTGTTTGCGAGCTTTTGGGTTGTTTTTATTCTGGGCCTATTATGGATAATACTGTTATAAAATTCTTGTACACATCTCTCAGTGCTTATATGCACACATTTCTGTTGAGTATATACCAAAAAAATAGAATTGCTGCCTTATAGGTTCTGTGTGGGTTCAACTTTAGTAGATATGTCAAATGGTTTTCTGAAGTGGTTTTAGCAATTTATACTACCACTAGCAGTTCAAGAAAGTCTCCATTGTTCTACATCCTTGACAACAATTAATGTTGTCAGACTTAATTTTTGTCATTCAATAATAGAAAATGGTTTCTCACTATGGTTTTAGTTTCTATTTCTGTATACAAATGAGATTAAGTACTTTTTCATATATTGATCGGTAATTAGAACATTCTTTTCAGTGAAGTCATTTTTTATACCCTTGCATGCTTCTATTGGATTTTCAGCATTTTTCTTATTGATATGTGGCTATTAGTTATATATTATGAAAGTGAGCCTTTGTTGGTTTATATATGCTGTCAATATAGTCTTTCACTCTGTGAAAATATAAAGTTGTTTCTTACTCTATATTATATTTAGAAATAAATTCCAGGTGGATTAGTGGGTCTAAATTAAAAATAGAAAGCAATACAATTTTTAAAAATAATATAGAAAAATATCTTTATGACTTTGAAGTAGGAAGAGTATTTTTAAGCAGGGAACAAAAAATAGACTGGCAAGTCTGATCACAACAATACCAATATATTATTCATCTAAAACCACCATTAAAAGTACGAAAAAGCAAGTTCACATAGGGTAAGTCAAATTTTTAGGGATGTCTAAGTAAGGTAAATCCTCATTCTCATAGGCAAAAGTTTATGGATATTATTTAAAGTTGATTCATAAAGAAGTAATAATACATATATTACTTAAAGATTGGAAAATACAAAAGCACACAGTAAATCACTGTTTCTGGGAGTAGGAGTGGAGATAAGGGTGGATAGGAAGGGGATGAAGAAGAGAACTGTTGGGTTTCATTATAATTCCTGAATACTATTTGATTTGTTAATTATGTACATGTGTTACTTTGAGTTATTTTTTAAAAGATACTTTTTTCAGATATAGTAATATTTCTTAAACTCTTAATGAAACACCTCTGGAGTGAAGAATGAAGACACATACCCAGAAATGTAGGAATGCCCTGAAGCTGTAACAATGAACTCAAAAATGCTTTTATGGCCAGGCACGGTGGCTAACTCCTGTAATCCTAATGCTTTGGGAGGCTGAGACAGGAGGATTGCTTGAGGCCAAGAGTTCTAGACCAGCCTGGGCAACATAGCAAGACTCTGTCTCTAAAAAATACATGCTATTCGATTTTCTATATATTTGTATAATAAATATACATGTTTTATAATAAAGTGAGAATTTTATATACATTAGCATGTTAGTTTTAATGTGAAATAATTATTGATTTAAAGTACTTACATATTCACCAAAATCTTCAAGCAAATTCCATGTTCAGGAAGATCCAGCAGGCTTATTTTTTGGCCGCAAGTAGCCTCAGTACAACCCGTGTACTCCCTGTGACTGTAAGTATCCCAGTTTGAGAAGGATGTTTCTAACTGGTTAATGCTGCCATAACAGCTAAATAAATTATGACTTCCAGATGTTGTATCTACTTCAGATGTTAGATAGGGAGCACAGGGTAGTGTAGTTGAAACAGTATTCATTTTGAAATTAGAACATCCATTTGAGTTCAGATTGGGACCTTGCTTTGAGCAAGTCACTTGAAGTTCCAAAACTTTAGACCTCTCAACTATAAAACGAGTCTAATATGTATGGATTTTGCCTACAACCCCCACAAAGCAGCTCTGTGGTTTATGTGAGAAATTATTTTCTGAACTATCTATAACATTCATCTTCTACAGTATTGGCAGAATATGTATATGTCAAATTTTAATGCTAATATTTTAAACATAAGCTGGGTATTATAATATATAGTAGTGTCTTTATTGCTTCTCTATTTGTTACTGCAAAAAGTTTGCAATGGCCAGCTCGTGAGTTCCATTTGGCAAACATTTTACAGAGCATCTACTCCATATCATGTTACACGCTAAGAGCTGTCAATATACAAGAGGAATCCATGTCCTCAAGTAACATACAATCTACATTATCTGCTTCATGGCTTTCATAGAAATGCCTTTCACATGAGCATGCATGCTGCATGTTTTCCTAGTTGTGTTACCTTGGAGAAGCCATTTCCCCTTTCTGGGCTTCAGTTTCCTTATCTATAACATGAAGATGTTGGGTCTTTATATATACTTTGGATTCACTGATTTCCAGCAATCTATATTTAGCAGGACCCCTTAATGCCTTTAAAAAATCATAGCACTTATTTATTGAGTACCTTCTCCATACTCAGTTTACGAGTCAGGGTTCAACCAGGAAGCACTCAATATTAAGCACAGAGGAAACTGGTTACACTGGTGAAAGAAGAACAAAGAAGCCAATCATGGGGGCAGTGAGATACCCAGAGATTAGCAATAGTAGGAAACCACTATCACTCACTAAGTCGCAGAGGCAAAAGAGAAACTTAGATTGCCAGAGCCCAGGGTTTAGAGTCACCTGGAGGAAAATACAACCATTAAAGCATGTTTAGTGACCAGAGAGGAGACACAGCCAGAGCAAGAGATACCACCTGAGTCAGAAAGGGGCCAGGATAGATGCACTGGACATTTTCCTTCTCTGTTTCATCTCTAACGTGAACCTAGCTGGAGTTCTTTGACCAGGAGCCTGGGAAATGCAGTCTTCCAGTGTCATCCTCAGTGATACAAAGCAAAGCAGGAGAAGGGTGAGGAATGGATCTGAGTACAAACAGCACACAGACTAGCCTGCTCACTATGGTGCCCAGTACTCCTTGAAGGAGCTTATAATGTACTGGAGGAAACCAAGCTCATATTGGTGAAGCAAGAAAAAATAAATATAATGAGTTGTCATTCATGCATGTTAGCTGAGACCTAGAAATTATTTTCTGTATTTTTTAAAATGAAGAAACAGGCACAGAGAGCTGGCTTGCCCAAATTCACACAGCAAGTCAAATGAAGCAAAATTGGAACCCATAATCATATACCTTCAGAGGACATACTCTTTCTTCTGTATACTTTAGCATTAGGTGTTGCAGGATCTCAGTACAATGGGTGTTCATAGAACAGCAAAGTCTCTATTTCCTCATCTGAAAAATGGAATTTGGGACAACTCCTATAGGAATCCTTTATCAGCACAGTCTAGAATCATCTAGGAAGGCTTTATAGAAAATGTAGGGCTTTTCAGGAGTCTTGAAGGATATGTGAGACTCATAGAGAAAGGGCATGAATAACGTTCCTTTTGTTTCTCTGAGAAACCCTTTCTCTCTGCAGATTTGTTTGAGTTTGAGCAATGAAACATAATATTGCTTCCAGGGACCCTAATGGGCTCTCCTAAGTCAAGGCTTTAGGTCTGCAAAGCTGTTGTCACATCACACAGCCCTGGAGATTCAGGGGCTTCCCAGAAAGTATCTTAGCTTCACCCCCGGTCCCTTGTGCCTTGTGCTCTGACTGAGGGGTACCTGCATGTTCGACATTAGCTCTCCGGGGCAATTGGATCTCTATTGGCCATACATCTGAGAACTCTCAGAAATACTGTTTATTCCTTGAGAAATCTGGAATGAATTAAGCTGAATAAATTGGCTCTCAGCTTGGCTGTTTCAGATGGCAGCAAAGAAATAACATATGCTAGCTTTCCTCCATTTTCTTGTTCTATTTTTCCTTTATGGAAGGAGAAATGAAAACACACCCATATTCATGAAAAAATTAGATTTGGTCATATTCTCCAGCAAGTGGAAGCTGTCAATGAGAATATTTAGGTGTCTTAGAAGAGTGTTACAACAGGAAGAAAACTAGGGCATTCACTCTGATACATGTCTGTAAACTGTGCAGCATAAATCTAAATAGAAGTGGGGTGTTCACAGAGCTGATCTGTATCTGAGTTGCTAGGGCTACTGATACAGTGAGCAAACACAATAAAGAATTTTCCCTTTTTAATCCTCCACCAATCTTACCTTTCTCCTCAGTGCCAAACATTTATTAAAAGAAAGCCACATGGGGACTTTGAAAACATTCAGAAGAAAATTAGAAGGAAACAAAAGGAGAAATAATCTGGGCATAATTAATCATGATTATAGCTGACACATGCATTATTTTGACTGCTCAATCTTGGTTTACAAATAATTAATGATAACAATCATAGCTGGGTGCAGCACGGTGCTAAGTTCTTAGTATATTATTACCCCCTTCATATGTAACAATGGCTCTGTAATCTAAGTATTATTATTATTATTCTCACCTTACAAATGATAAAACTGAGAGCTTAAACAACTTTCCCGAACTAACACATTTAGAAAGTCCTGGAGTCAGTTTTCCACTTTAAGTCTATTCAACTGTTATGTCCTGGCTCTAAGTGATTATACCATACTGGATGTTATAAGTATGGAGTTGTGCTGTCTATATCTCCCCTTCAAAAAAGGATTTGTTGTCCCAGCTGCTGGGGGCACTGTCAGCTCCCTCAGGGATTATGTCAGCTGCAGAGAGCCACCTTCCCCAAGGTCAAACCTTTCCCAGGGCTGCTCATGTCTAATGACTCGGGGGCAATCCTAGACATACGCCCTCTTTCATAGTTATCTTTTATGGGTAACACTGTCTCATTAAAGAGAGGGGATTTCCCCAGCATTATTACCCTAATGAGACCTGTGCTCATCACACTTGCTTTCATTTAGTACCTGTCTTCTCCACTTACCTTTGAGCCCCCCTAAGGTAAAGCCCACATCCATTGGTTACTTGACATTCCATCATCGAGCCAGCAGCCTCTCAAGTCACCTGGTATATGTCCAGAGCATTATTCCTAGGTGTGCCCTTAGAACCCGAAGAATCCCACCAAGTGTTTTGCTTCCTACTGTATGGTAGCAGATATAAGACCCGGCACTTTGTCTTTTGGAAGAGATGTCCCAGCATGCCCCTGATCACTGAACTCTTAAGAACTTAATTACACTGACAGATCTCTGAATTTTTGTAGGTTTTATTTCCAACCGTCTGGAGCACCTTTGTCTTCCCATGGCCTCAAGTGTGCTGGATACTTCTTGATCATTTTGCTAGATCCCTATGATGTTACCAATGTAATGCTCCAATATGATGTTCCATGGGATGTCCAGGAGGTGTAGATCTCTTTGGGCTGTATTATAATAGACAATGCACAAATTAACACGGGCTTGGGGCAACATTGCACATGAATATTTTGTCTCTTTCATTTGAAGGCCAAAGTTTCAAAATTGCCTTTTCTGATTGGAATATATATAAAAAGACACACTTGCCAAATCAAAGCTCCTGAGACCTTGTTAATCTTAATCAAAGACACCATATCTAACACAGCAGCAGCATTAGGGTTACTTTCTGACTGAGCTTGCAGCAGTCTATAGTCCTTCTCTAGGATCCGTTGGTTTCGGCAGGGGCCGTATTGGTGAATTCAATATGGTATGATCCACTACCCCTATGTCCTTGAGATCCCTGGGAGTAACACTAATCTTCTAACCCCCATGGAGATGTGATATTGTTTTTGACTTACTATCTTAGTCAGGGTGAGAGGCACATATGTCAGAAGCTTCTCCTTGGATTCACCATTATAATAGCTCCTTCTTCACAGACCCAATGTGGTGGTTACTCTAACTGCCAAGTATGCCAATTCCATTTATGCATTCAGGGACTGAGGAAATAAAAACCATGTGGGATGGTTTATTAACCAACCTTTGGCCAGGATTCCATTTCCAGGGCCCTTATATGCTATCACTGTCAAAGGGGATCTGTAAGAACTCTCTCTATTTCTTAGAGTTCCCCTTTTCCCCAGTCAACTAAGTAAATGGCTAGAGTTGTCTTTGAGGAAGGCCTGGAAACTATCACAGTATATATGTGTTGTGGTGTGGCAGGACCCTTCCTCTTGGGAATTGAGCCAAGTATGAGAAGTAGGAAAAGGACTAGGACAAACTCCTCCAACCTCTTGCTCCTCTATTTTTGCTATCATTGCCTTATATCTATTAAGCAGAACATTCATTGACTGACTATCTATTTTGCCACTAACAATGTAGTTTTCTGTTAATCATGTCCACAATCCTGTATGGCTTAAGCCCCTTTGGCTGAAATAATGCAGCAATTATTATGGTAACCTCAAACTCCTGGTTTCTGGCAGTTTAGTGCCACTACCTGACCTCTATTACTCCATCCCAACTGGCCCCATAAGAGTGCAGACCTAGTGCATATCTCATTCTTATCACTTTTATCCTCACTTTTATCTGATTAGATAAGCTAAGGAACAGGAACCCAGTAGAATACCTAATTAAATTGGAAGCAGTCCACATTCAGGGACTGGATCTTCCCAACAAAAAATGATACACACAAACATATATGTATACACATACATATAAAAGCTAAGTACATCTCAAATTTAGGATTGGTTCCAAAATTCAAACTTTTGTATTAAAATAAAATTTCTTTATAATAATATTTCTTTTTTTTTTCTTTTTTTTTTTTTTTTTTTTGAGACAGAGATTCGCTCTGTCTCCCAGGCTGGAGTGCAATGGCACGATCTTGGCTCACTGCAACCTCTGGCTCCTGGGTTCAAGCAATTCTCTGCCTCAGCCTCCTGAGTAGCTGGGATTATAGGTGCCCACCACCACATCTGGCTAATTTTTGTATTTTTAGTAGAGATGGGGTTTCACCATCTTTGCCAGGCTGGTCTTGAACTCCTGACCTAGTGATCCACCCGCCTCAGCCTCCCAAAGTGTTGGGATTACAGGCGTGAGCCACCGAGGCCTGGCCAATATTTCCTTTTTTAAAAAAAACTTTTGTTTTAGGTTCAGGGGTACATGTGCACATTTATTATAAAGATAAACTCATGTCATGCAGTTTGGAGTACAGATTATTTCATCACCCAGGTACTAAGCAGAGTACTCAATAGGTAGTTTTCCTGATCCTCTCCCTCCATTCACAGTCCTCCCTCAAGTAGGGCCCAGAGCCTATTGTTCCCCTCTTTGTGCCCATTGGTTCTCATTATGTAACTCATACTAATAAGTGAGAACATGCAGTATTTGGTTTTCTGTTCCTGTGTTAGTTTGCTAAGGATAATGTTTTCCAGCTCCATCTATGTTCCTACAAAGGACATGAGCTCATTCATTTTATGGCTGCATAGTATTCCTTGGTATATATGTACCATATTTTCTTTATCTAGTCTACCACTGATGGGCATTTAGGTTGATTTCATGTCTTTGCTATTGTGAATAGGGCTGCAATGAATGTATGTGTGTGTATGTGTCTTTATGGCAGAACAACTTATATTCCTTTGGTGTATACCCAGTAACAGGATTGCTGGGTTAAATTGTCATGCTGTTTTTAGTTCTTTGAGGAATCATCACACTGCTTTCCACAATGGTTGAACTGATTTACACTCCCATCAGCAGTGTATAAGTGTTCCCTTTTCTCCACAACCTCAACAGTATCTATTATATTTTACTTTTTAATAATACCATTCTAACTGGTGTGAAAATGGTATCTCATTGTGCTTTTCCCATTTGGGAAGTCTTTTATTTCTTGCCTTAGTGCTCTGACCAGGACTTCCAATACTGTGAATAGGAATGGTAAGAGAGGATTTCCTTGTCATGTGCTAATTTTCAAGTGGAATGCTTCTAGCTTTTGGCCATTCAGTATGATGTTGGCTGTGGGTTTGTCATAGATGGCTCATATTATTTTGAAGTATGTTCCTTCATTGCCAAGTTTATTGACGGTTTTTAACATAAATGAATGTTGTATTTTATCAAAAGTCCTTTTCTGCATCTATTGAGATAATCGCTTGGTTTTTGTCTTTAGTTTTTTTTATGTGATGAATCACATTTATTGATTTGCATGTCTTGAATGAACCTTGCATCCCAGGCATAAAGCCTACTTGATTATTGTGGATTAGCTTTTTGATGTGGTGCTGGATTCAGTTTGCTAGTATTTTGTTGAGGATTTTCACATCTATGTTCATCAAGAATATTGGACTGCAATTTTCTTTTTTTGTTGTGTCTCTGCCAGGTTTTGGTCTCAGGATGATGCTGGCCTCATAGGATGAGTTTGGGAGGAGTCCCTCCTCCTCAGTCCCTCCTCCAAAACTATTTTTGGAATAGTTTCAGTAGGAATGGTACTAGCTCTTCTTTGTACATCCAGTAGAATTTGGCTGTGAATCTGTCTGGTCCTAAGCTTTCTTTATGTGGGCAGGCTATTTATTACTAATTCAATTTCAGAGTCAATTATTGGTCTCAATTTCTTCATGATTCAGTCTTGGGAGGGTGTATGTGTTCAGGGATTTATCCATTTCTTTTAGACTTTCTAGTTTGTGTTCACAGAGGTGTTCATAGTAGACTCCGGTGGTTATTGTATTTCTGTGGGGTCAGTGGTAATGTTCCCATTGTCATTTCTAATTGTGATTATTTGGATCTTTTCTTCTTTATTAGTCTAGCTAGTGGTCTATCTATCTTATTAATTTTTTTTAAAGAACAAGCTCCTGGTTTTGTTGATCTTTTGTATGTTTTATTTCATGTCTCAATCTCCTTTAGTTCAGCTCTAATTTTGGTTATTTTTTGTCTTCTGCTTGCTATGGTGTTGACTTGCTCTTGCTTGTCTTGTTCTTGTAGTTGTAATTTTATGTTGTTGATTTCAGATCTTTCTAACTTTTTGATGTGGACATTTAGTGCTATAAATTTTCCTTTTAGCAGTGCTGTAGCTGTGTCCCAAAGATTCTGGTATGTTGTATCTTTGTTCTCATTAGTTTCAAATAACTTCTTGATTTCTGCCTTAATTTCATTATTTCCCCAAGAGTCACTCAGGAGTGGGTTGTTTAATTTTCATGTAATTGCATGGTTTTGAGCAATTTTCTTCAGTTAAATTCTATTTTTATTGCTCTGGGATTCAAGAGTGTGGTTGGTATAGTTTTGATTTTTTTTGAATTTGCTGAAGATTGTTTCATGTATCATTGTGTGGTTGATTTTAGAGTATGTGCCATGTGGTGTTGAGAAGAGTGCATTCTGTTGTTTTGGGATAGAGAGTTCTGTAGATGTCTATTAGGTACATTTGGTCAAGTGTTGAGTTCAGGTCCTAAATATCTTTGTTAATTTTCTGCCTTGATGATTTCTCTAATACTTTTCAGTGGGGTGTTGAAATCTCCCACTCTCATTGTGTAGGATTCTAAGTCTCTTCATAGGTCTCTAAGAATTTGCTTTATGGGTCTGGGTGCTCCTGTGTTGGATGTATATATTTAGGATAGTTAGGCCTTCTTATTGAATTGAACCCTTTACCATCATGTAATGCCCTTCTCTGTCTTTTTTTTTATCTTTGTTGGTTTAAAGTATGTTTTGTCTGATTGCAACCCCTGCATTTTCTGATTTCCTTTTGATTGGTAGATTTTTCTCCATTCCTTTATTTCCATTTATTCCCATTGCATGTAATGACACCCATAGGTTCAATAAAGGCTCTTGAAGACAGCATACCATTGGGTCTTGCTTCTTTATCCAGATTTTCATATATGCCTTTAATTGGGGCATTTAGCCCATTTACATTCAAGGTTAGTGTTAATATGTGTGGATCTGATCCTGTCATCTTGTTGTTAGTTGTTATGCAAACTTGCTTGTGTGGTTGCTTTACAGTGTCACTGATCTGTGTACTTAAGTGTGTTTTTGTATTGGTTGGCAATGGTCTTTCTTTTCCATATTGCAGGAGCTCTTGTAAGGCAGGTCTTGTGGTAACAAAATCTCTCAGCATTTGCTTGTCTGAAAAGGATCTTATTTCTCTTTCATTTATGAGGCTTAGTTTGGCTGGATATTAAATTCTTGGTTGGAAATTTTTTTCTTGAAGAATATTGAGACTATGCCCTCAATCTCTTCTTAAGCACAGTGGTCAGTAGGTAGGCTATGTGACTCAGCAAGAGCCTACATAGGGAACATTATGCTTAAACGCCACCTACTGGATAATGCTCCAAAAAGTCGACATTAAAAATACTTTGTTGGCCAGGTTCATTAGTTCATGCCTGTAATCCAAGCACTTTGGGAGACCAAGGCATGTGGATCACTGGCACTCAGGAGTTTGAGACCAGATATATAGATATATAGATATGGAAACCCATCTCTACAAAAAAATACAAAATTTAACTGGGTGTGTTGATAGTTGGCCTGTAGTCCCAGCTACTCAAGAGGCTGAGGTGGGAGAATGGCTTTAGCCCAGGAGTTCAAGGCTGCAGTGAGCCATGATCATGCCATCATGCCACTGCACTCCAGCTTGGGTGATGGAGTTGCCCCTCCAGCCCCCACTCCCCCAAAAAATGCTTTGATAACATACCCTCCATGAAACCAAATGCTAAAAAAAAAAAAACCAGCAAAATCAGCTACAAATAAAGACCCTGCACAAAGCCTCAGCCCTCTGGAAATATCCAGAAAAGAATTCTACTGAGTATTGTCACTTAGACGCCATTACTAAGGGTCCTGCTGACTTAGTTTACTGGATTGAGAAAAGTCACTTTTGAAAATCAACTGCATCTCAACAGCAGAGTCCATTAACACCTGGACTTGAGTCACCACAACTACCACAGCCAGATATTTTCCTATAATAATATTCCTACATGTTTAATGCAAACATAACAAGAAAAAAAACTTTCATAGTTATCTTTTATTGTTTAGCCCTGAGTTTTATTGAGAAGAAGGGATTCTTCTAGGGTCAACTCAACAAGACAGAAACTCATCACACTTGCATTTGTTTAATATAGCTTCTCATTTACCTTCAAGTTCCCTAAAGTCCATATCTATTTTGTTTACCTCTTTATCATCCTGCCTAGCAAACAAGCATAGTGTTTGGCAGTGTTTAATCATTAATTAATTCACTTATAATTCCATAAATAATGGATGAGTAAGTGATAGTTGCATAGATATATTTCATCAAACAAATTTAATTATTAGTCATCCATTGACAACTGTATCTTTTCTCTTTGTCAGACACAAATAGATTTTATCTCTTTAGTCCTTTAAGAGGAAGAAATCCAAAAGGATATACAACCTTTTAGTCAAAACCAAAAGAGAAAAATATATCATATGTGAGCAATTGGGAATCCTGCCTACCTCAAAACTTTGCTTGCCTTTAGTAAGACAGACCCGTATCTACTTCCTTTGCCCCATCTACCTGCCTCCTATATCACACATCTCTATCTAGTTCACAACAACACCTAATGCTAGCCTTAACATAGCAGCAGAAACAAAGAATGACCTTTTCCAAACTTCTTAGGTTGGACACAGCCCATATAGAGTCTTTTGTGAATTGGTCTCAGCCTCTAGAGGCACTGAGTCATTGTTTCCTTTTTGGGCAACTTCTAAATCATGAGCCTTGTATTTTTGGAAAACTTATCTTCTCATTCGATCCCCCCAGTGGTCCTATGAGGTAAGAGATCAGATGTTATGCATGGAAAGATCAGTGAACCAGGAAATCAGAAGACAAGGATTTTCATTTTTTTCTACTATTTATTAGTTGTGTGATTTTAGGCAACTCTCATGGCATTTATTAAAAATGGGTTTATTATATTCAACACTCAACTAATATTTAATGAATGTACTTAATGAGCATGGTTTTAGACACTGGCAGTATGGTTGGATATAAGGCAGGTAAAGTCTCTTTTTTTCACAAAGCTTTCCTTCTAGTGGCATATAGATGAATGAAAAGGCAAAGAGTAGTTAAGTAAATTTTGGTTATTAATAAATTTCTATTGAGAAACAAATTTTCAAGTGATGTAGTAAAAACAGTGACCAAGGAAGCTGTTTGATTGGGAGGTGAGAGAAAGCCCCATTACTGAAGAGGTAGAATGCTTCCATATCTGAAACACAAGCAGGAGTCAACCATGTGAAGATGCAGGTAAAGAGATTTCCAGCGGAGGGAACAGATATTTGGAGCAGGTCACAAAGTTCTAAGATGGCACAAGCTTGACTTTCCCTGAAAAGCTCTTATCATTGGTGGTTTCCATTTTACAGATCTTCCTAAAGCCTAGAACAGTGAAGCAACTTGCTCAAGGATAAATGCTGAGTGATTGGAAGAGCATGGGTTCACACACATAACTTCTGATTTTTAAAAAAGATATTCTTCACCACTTAAATTCTAGGTACCTCAATTCAGGCCCTCATGACCCCACCCTGGATTATTTCAGTTGATTTGTAATGAGTCACTCCATATCCATGTCCACCTTCTTCCCCTTCCTCAATCCAGTCCCACTTCATCTTCCATATAGCAGATGGTCAAAGTTATGTTTCTGATACACAAGCCTAATCATGCCCCTTTTTTGCTTTATACACCTCCTGTAACTGTCAGCAGACAAAAATATGAAGTCCAAGCTCTCCAATCCATTATTCAATCAATTCCTAACATTTTCAAGCCTTATTCCTTATCACCATTTTACCTCACATCCTCCCTTAGCCTCAGTAAATGAAATGCCATACCATGTTATGCCTCAATTTCTCTAAACATACTGTTCTTTGTTGCTAAACTCCAATCATCTTGCAATTGCTCACTCAAAGTTACTGTGTAAAATGCATTACTCTCTTATCTATATCAGTATGACACTTTTGCTCAATTATAGTAGTTTCCATATCTATTTCGGTGGTATATTTACTTACCTGGCTAGACTGTGAGATACTAAAGGGCAAAAAACACATTGTATACATATATTTTTGTATTACGAATGCTCAGCTTGGTAGCTGACATCTAGTAGATGCTTGAAATTACTTGTGGATCAAAGGTATAAAAAAAAGAATGAATGAAATTAAAATGATGGTCAAAATTTGTCGAGGTTTTTTTTTCATTAATTCAAAGATAACTTTATTTTTTAAACATTGTACTTTTTATTATTACAATTTCAAAAATAGAGTCAATCGAAAAAATCACATAAATGCCTATGTATTAATTATCTTATTTTCTGGATTCTAGAAAATTCTTTCATTTTCATTTCATTATTGCATCAGCATTTTCTTATTCACGAAAAAATAAAAATATACAGTTGAAGTCCTGTTATCCCTCTTTATTTCTGAATTTTGTATTATTCCCATGCTTTCATACAAATACTATATAAGGATACATTCATAAAAACGTATAGCCTTTTTTGTATGCTTTCAAATTTTACATAAATGGTATTGTACTGCACATATTTGGTCAATCGCTTTTATCCTTTAACATTGTTTTTAAAATTTGTCCTGTTAAAATATGTAACTTTAGGCAACGATTTTTAACTACAGAATACCATTTAATTAGAAGAATACGCCATAATTTATTTTCCATTTCCTTTTTAATGGGCATTTAGGTTGCTTCCTATTTTACTTTTTAAACAATAATGCAATAAACTTTCTTGTACATGATTTCTTGTTCATGTGTGCACGTTGCTGAGTCAAAGAACATGTTCATCTTCAACTCGATATGACCAAGTAATACTCTTAAATAAATAGACCAACTGACATTACAATCAGAAGTATGTGAACATTTGATTGCTCATATGTTCGTTTATATTTAGACTTATTAAATTTTTAAAAACTCAACTAAATTTTTAAAAATCAATTTTTACTTGAAGTAAAATTTATAACAAAATGAACTTATTTCAGGGAAACAATTTGGTGAGTTTTGACAAATGTATCCACTTCTATGAACAACACCATCACAATCCAAATTTGGAGCAATTTTATCGCCCCCACCCCTGCAAATTTTCTATGAACTTTTCACATCAATGCTCCCTCTCAGTCCTCGCTCCAGGAAACCATTCATTTGATTTCTGTCACTATATGTTAGTTTTGACTTCTCTAGAATTTCATTTGAATGAAATCATACAGCTTGCACCCATGATGTCTAACTTCTTTCACTTAGCACAATGTAGTTTCTTTTATTGAATTATTTTTGTCTGGTTTCTCCATAAGGGTAATATTAGCCCCATACAATGAACTGAGAAGTGTTTAATTCTTCTTTATTTTCTGAAAAATTTTATATGGGATCAGTATTATTTTTTTCCTTGAATATTTGATAGAGTTTATCAGAGAAGCCATTTGGGCATCAAGATTCTTTGTGGATAGATTATTAACTATAAATGTATATTATTTAATAGATTTCAAGATATCCAGATTTTCTATTCATTCTTAGTCCATTTTGGTAATTTGTGTTTTTCAAGGAATTTGGCCATTTCATCAAAGTTGTTTAATTTATTAGATTGTTTCTAATATTCCCTTTTTGTCCTTTTTCATGTCTGTAGGATCTATAGTGTTGTCCCCTTTTTCATGCCTAATATTGACTATTTGTGTCTTCCTTCTTTTTTTCTTGATCACTGTAGCTAGAGGCTTATCAATTTTATTGACCATCTAAAACAAACAGCTTTAGGTTTTATTAATTTTATCTATTCTTTATTTTCCATTCTATTGATTTCTACTTTTTTTTCTTTCTACTTACTCAGGATTTATTTGCTTTTTGTTTTAGCTTCATAAGATGGAAACTCAGATGATTAATTTTAGATTTTTGGTGATGTAGTATTTAAATTAAAAGTTTCACTCTAAGCACGTTAGGGGACAATTCTCCCAAGATCTCTAACATCTCTGTATTTCTTGCAAATGGCATTGATGGCTTTTTTTTTTTTGAAACTGTCTTTTCAAGTATGTTTATCTAATAGTCTTACAAGATAGAGGAAGCATCTTCCTCCAAAGCAAAGGGTGGCTTTGTTTACAGCCTTAAAAGTTAGGGATAATGTCTGCTTCTGAAGCAAAGGACAGATGTGCTTGCTGATCATTATAAAAGATGCAAGTTCTCTAGGCCAGGGCTTCTCTTTTGTACTTCACCCCACTATGTGTAAGTGTGTCACTAAATTCTTACTTGTATCACATTATGAGGATTGGTAGTCAGGGAACTGGAACAAGAAAAATGTTGATATTCTGTTTACTACTGTTTCTGTCCTTGATCTCTTACCCAAGAATCATGAGGCTTCTGTCAGTATCTACAAACCATAGCTGACTCACTTACTAGCTTTCGTAACAGGGTTAAATCTTAGACCTGTCACAGGGCTTTAGCTGGATCTCATAAAACTGATGCTTTTTAAAAGTTTATATGCAGTTCAAAGTATTTCTTAATTTCACTTTTGATTTTTTTTGTTCATGGGCTATTTTTAAATTGTATTATTTGATTTCCAAATATTTGGGGATTTATAAAGCCATCTTATGTTATTGGTGTCTAATTTAGTTCTTGAACCCAGAGAAAATATTCTGTATGATTTTAATCCTTTAAAATTTTTTTAAGAATTGTTAAACAGGCTGGCATATATTCTATCTTGGTGAATTTCTATGCACACCTGGAAAGAATGTATATTATGTTGTTGTTGGGTGCAGTATTCTATAAATGTAAATGAAGACAAATTCATTGAAAATGTTTTTCAAACCTTCTATATCCTTACTAGTTTTCTATTTATTGTTTTATCAATTGCGTCAAGAGAAGTTTTGAAGTTTTTGCTTATGTATTTCAAAGTTTTAAAATAAGGTGCATACACATTTAGGCGTTATGAATTATTAATGAATTAACCGCTTTATTGTTATGAAATTTCTCTATCCTCGGTAATATTTCTTGTTCTGAAGTCTTTGTTACTAATATAGGCACTGCAGCTTTCTTATGCTTAGTATTTTTATGGTATATCCTTTTCTGTCTTTTTACTTCCAATCTATCTCTGTGTTTGTAATTTTTTCTTTTTAGAGACAGGGTCTTTCTCTGTTGCCCAGGCTGGACAGGCTTACTGCTGGATCACTTTACAGATTTTGGACTGTTTAGCTTCCATAATTCAAATGAGCCAATGTCTTAAAATAAATCACTTTACACACACACACACACGCACGCACACACACACACACACACACACACCCTATTGGTTCTATTTCTCCAGAGAACCCTAATACATATTTTATCTCCATCATTGGAATATTAGCCATCCAGCTTCATCTTATTTATTTTTGTGGTTGCTATAAGGTTTTCAAAATGAGTCTTCATCTCATCATTAGCCTAACTTTATATAATACTATACCACTCCACAATTAATGTACGCTCCTTAAAACTGCATACTTCTCTTATGTTGCTCCTGTGCTTTTCCATCGTTGTCATATACTTTATTTATATATACTTTATGAATTCCAAAATACATTATGTGTTCTCTAAATTTTCATAAGAAAATATTTTCTATATAAAAATATATTTACCATCTCTGTTGCCTTTTCTTTATTTTTGCAGATCCAAGTTTCCATCTGATATTATTTTCCCTGTACCTGAACAACTTTCTTTAACATTTCTTGTCATTGAAGTATGCTGGAAACACATTCTTTCAGCTTTTGCTTACCTGAAAAAAAATTTTTACCTTCACTTTTGATAGACATTTCTACTAGTTACAGAATTCTGTGTTGATAGATTTTTTTTCTTTCAGTCCTACCATGGTATACTATGCAGCCATAGAAAAGGATGAGTTCATGTCTTTTGCAGGGACATGGATGAAGCTGGAAACCATAATTCTCAGCAAACTAACACAAGAACAGAAAACCAAACACCACATGTTTTCACTCATAAGTGAGAGCTGAACAATGAGCACACATGGACATAGGGAGGGGAACATCACACAGTGGGGCCTGTTGGAGGCTGGAGGGCTAGGGGAGGGATAGTATTAGGTGGAATACCTAATGTGGATCACGGGTTGGTGGGTGCAGCAAACCACCATGACACATGTATACCTATGTAACAAAACTGCACATTCTGCACATGTACCCCAGAACTTAAAGTATAATAAAAAATTATTATTATTCTTTAATTATACTATTTTATTGTGTTCTAGTTTGCATAGCTTCTTACAGTAAGTCACTCATTTTTAGCAATTTGATGATAGTATGCCTTTGTGTATGTGTACATGCATGTTTATTCTTATCCTTTTGAAATTCTTTAATTTTCTTGAGTTTCTAGTTTTCATCCAATTTGCAAAAATTATGGTAATTATTTTTTAAATTTCGTTTTCTGTCTTGAGGTCCTTTCATTCATTTTGAGTTCCCAACTGCAACTTATTTGGACCACTTGATATTTCTCCACACGTTACCGAGGCTGTGTTTATTTTTTGAATCTTGAATCTTTCTCTCTGTGCTTTAGTCTTGATAGTTCTTACGTCTTCAAATTCACTGCTTTTTAAAAATCTGTTATGTTCTGTCTGCTATGAAGTCCATCCAATCAGATTTTAATTTTAGGTACGGCATTTTTATCCCCAGAAGTTCCATTTGGATTTTTATTTTATATCTCCAATTTTTCTCTTCATTGTGTTTATGTTTTTCTTTAAAACCTCTGCTACATGCACATACACACATGTGTATACACACAGACATGTGTATATAAACATACACACACTTATGTATAACTCTTTTTTTTTTTTGAGACAAAGTCTCACTCTGTTGTCCAGGCTGGAGTGTGGCGGCACAATCACGGCTCACTGCAACCTCTGTCTCCTGGATTCAAGTGACCCTTCCACCTTAGCCTCCCAAGTAGCTTAGACTACAAGCATGTGCCACCAAACCTGGTGAATTTTTGTATTTTTTGTAGACACAGGTATAATAATTTCTTTAAATTCATTCTCTGCTAATTCTAGCATATCTATCATTTCTGAGTATGTTTCTATTGGATTTTTTCCCTCTATCAATTATGGGTTGTATCTTCCTGCATTTGGTCCTCTGTATTAATTTTTTTTTTATTTTTTTGTGACAGGATTTTGCCGTGTTGCCCAGGGTAGAGTGCAGTGGCGTGATCATAGCTCAGTGCAATCTTGAATTCCTGTGCTGAAGTCTAGCAATTTTTGATAGGCTGATGGTTGTTATGATTATCACATTGTTGAGTGTGGGTTTGTTTTTTTCCTTTAAAGAATTTTCAGGCTGGGTGCGGTGGCTCATGCCTGTAATCCCAGCACTTTGGGAGGCCAAGGTGGGTGCATCACCTGAGGTCAAGAGTTTGAGATCAGCCTGGCCAACATGGTGAAAACCTGTCTCTACTAAAAAAATACAAAAATTAGCCAGGCCTGGGGGTGGGTGCCTGTAATACCAGCTACTCGGGAGGCTGAGGCAGGAGAAACATGAGAATCACTTTTACCTGGAAGGCGCAGGCTGCAGTGAGCAGAGATCATGTGCTGTTGCACTTCAGCCTGGGTGACAAAAGTGAAACTCCATCTAAAAAAAAAAAGAAGAATTTTCTGATTTATCTGCAATAAAGGTTACTTTCAGATTAGCAATATTTTCTGATTTATTCTGCGATAAATGTTACTTTCAGATTAGCATTATTATTTGAGGTTTTATTTTTTAAAGTTTCAAGGTATTCTTTTACCCTGGGTATAATTTAGTCCTTAGACTAAGGCATAACTCTTTCTGGGTCTCAAGCAAATGATCCAGGTATGACATTATGACTTTTCATTCTGTTTGGTGCTTGGAATCCCCCAGCTCTATATGAGCTTTGAGAATTTCTCAGCTTGCACATTCACAATTGTCCTTTGCCTTTTTTTTTTTTTTTTTTTTTTTTGATGGAGTCTCACTCTGTCGCCAGGCTGGAGTGCAGTGGTGCAGTCTTGGCTCACTGCAACATCCGCCTCCCGGGTTCAAGTGATTCTCCTGCCTCAGCCTCCCAAGTATCTGGGACTACAGGTGCGTGCCACCACGCCCAGCTAATTTTTTTATTTTTTTTTTTTTTAGCAGAGACGGGTTTTCACCATGTTGGCCAGGATGGTCTTGATCTCTTGACCTCATGATCTGCCCACCTTGGCCTCCCAAAGTGCTGGGATTACAGGTGTTAGTCACCACACCCGGCCCCTTTGCCCTTATTCATATAATTTCACTCTACACATCAGTAAATTTATACTGAGCAATACAGTAAAAGGCATCTCTGTGTAATTTTCTGGAGCTTTTCCTCTACATAGCTCTCATCCCTCTGGAACGTTTCTTTGCCTTTAAGAGCTCTCTACTAAAACAGTTGGTTTGCAGTTGCTAAACATAAAACATTTTAAATAATTTCATTTGACTATCTTTCTAGTTTTTCATAGTGATAAAGTCTGTTCTTAGCTACTCTATCATAACCAGAAACAGATATTCAGAAATGACAAGCTTTTTAATATTTGATAATCTGGATATAAAATACTATATAAATGTGGCTTTAATTTACATATCTCTGATTATTAATACAATTAAACATCTTTTTCTAAGTTTCTTGGCCATTTTTGCTTCTACTTATATCTTTGGACAATTTTTAAGAGTTTCTTTTTCATGTCAATTTATATGGATATTTTGAATATTCTTGTACTAATTTTTTGCTAATTATATTATTGCATATATCTACTCCAAATATCTTGTTACTCTTCTCACTTTACATTGTATTTTGTTTAATAATTTTTTAAAATTTTAAATGTGGATAACTATGTAAATTTTCATGGTTCATAGGTTTTTTTTGTATTTTTTAATAACTCTTTGCTATGGTTTCTTCAAAAGTTTTAGAGTTTTACTTTTCATATTTATGACTTTAATTCACTTCCAATAAATTTTTGCATATGGTATGAGGTAGGAAACTTATTTTTTTTATCTGAAAGTATATACAATTGCATTTATACTATTTATTGGGATAATCATTTTTTACTTTATTGGTCTACAATGCTGCAGTTGTCATATATGACGTTTCTATATGCATGATTCTGTTTCTGAACTCTGTATTATTTTCATTGGTCTGCCTATGAGCTTGTGCTAATACCGCATGGTTTTAATTACTAGGGCTTAATAATAAAGCTTAATATTGGGTAGAGCAAGTACCAGCACTTTGTTATGTTCTTTCAACTTTTTCTTAGTTATTTTTGGCCCTTTCAATTTAGTAAAGAAATACCACTAAGATTTGGTTTTGAGTGACTTGAATTTATAAACTAACTATGGAGAACTGACATACTTTAGTATATTGGGTCTATTCAACTGTAGGCTTAATATACATGTTCATTTATTCAAGTTTTCTTTATATCCTTTAATAATTCCCTATAATTTTCTTAATATGAACATAAATATATTTTCATTATACTTATTCCTATATAATATAAAGTTCTTAATCACTATTTGAATGAAATCTTTCTTTTTCTATTATGTTTTCTAATTTTTGCATTTGTGTAAAAGTATATTTGATTTATGTATATCTTGTATCTATCAGCTTTGTTGAATTAATTAATTAGATCTAACACAGTGTCTATGAATCTCTTGGGACTGTTTACAAGACAATTATATTGTCTACAAATAAGGACAGTTATCTTTATTCCTTTATAATTTGTATGTTCTTTTCTTTCTTCACATTGTATTATTTAGGGCTCTTAATACAATATTGACTAAAAGCAGAAATGGTTCTATTGTTTCACTGTAAGTATTGTGTTTGGTAGGTTTTGACAGATATTTTCAACAGGTTAAGAGATTTTCTTCCTAATCAGAGTTGATTATGAGATTTTTTTTCATTTTCACCTTGAATGGATGCTGAACATTTTAAATGTTTATTCTACATCCATTGAGATAGTTGTTTATTGTTTCTCTTATTAGTGTAGTACACTATATAATAGATTTTACTGTGGTGAACCTCCCTGCTTCCTAAGTAAACATTATTTGCTTATGGTGTCTTGTTTTTAACATGGCTGAAATCTTCATGTTAATATTTATTTAGCATGTTTACATCTGATCTTATTTTTGCTTTATATAGGGGTCATTTTTGTTGCAGTCTAACTTTAATGGCTACTGGTTTATTTTAGTTGCTATTTTATCTTGAGTCAATTTAGTTAATTTATATTTTTCCTGAAATGCATCTATTTTAACTAAGTTTGCAAATGTACTAACATAATGTAATTCTTTGTAATTATTTCATTCTTTATGATAAATTATGTTTGTCAGAGGTATTTGGGTATTTGTATGGTGGTTTGAGGGTTTATATATTTGTTCATAAACGTGGTATTGATTGAATTCAGCTCCACCCTTTCTCTACAACACAGCTAGCTGCCAAACCCAGTGACATGTTCACACAACTTCATTAAATCTTCCATTCCATGGATACATGGCCTGATGCTCTAGTAGTCTGGTATATGTATTATTGTCTCCTATTAATAGTTAAAGAATTTGTAGCTCAGGGACTTTTAAAAAGCTGCCCAAGTTTCAATGCTATTTAGCATGCAGTGAGGTTTCTAAAATCCAAAATTCTGGGCTCTTTCCGTCATCGTCATCGTAGCCTTTCTCAGTGTGTGGTCTGATGACCACCTACAGTGGAATCACTGAGGGCACTTGATAACAATTGTCATTCCTGAGCCCCACCCCCAATATACTAAACCAGGATCTCTGGGGGTGGGGCCTAATAATCTGCACTGTAAACATATAGATGATTCTTCTCATTAAATTTTGAGAACCTCTGCACTTATAGTGGCTTTCTTATTAAGTCATTTGACAAAGTGGAATACTTAACAAGTCATTTGCTTCTGAATTTCTGTCTCTGATGGCGGGCATTCCTGGCTCAGGAAATTATAACCAAAGTTCTCACGCATTTATCCCATTTTAAAAGGGGCTTTTAGCCCCAAATGGACACAGGGCCCAGAAAAGGAGTTGTACAAACTCAGAGTCATGGAAATATTAGCGCAGGAAATGAAGTAAGAAAACGGATGTAAGAAAGGGACTGTTGCAGAGCTCCATATTACAATAAGAAATATTATACCCAAGTTCTAATAAAGAAGTCTTATTAAAGTCTTCCTAGGTCCTTTATTAGCTAAGAGATTTTTGTTTCTTTTATCTGTGGTTTGGTTTTTACCTTTCTTTCGCATTTGTTTTCTTCTTGGATTCTTGGAAGTTCCTGTATGCTGATCTTTCTGGAAAAGGATAAAAGAACAATCTCTCTTCTTCATTCTTTACCGTTAATTGCAATAGACTTTCCCCTGTGCTCCTTCATTCAGTCACTGATTCAATATCTCATTCATACATTTATTTACCAAGTACATACTGAGTCTCAGACATTGTACTAGATGCTGCAAGCCCTGTCCCTGAAGATGGTATAATTTACCAGGGGGAAATAATAAATAATTACAACCAAAAGTTGAAAATGCTTAAAAAAGTGTCTCTGGGCCAGGCCTGGTGGCTCATACCTGTAATCCCGTCACTTTGGGAGGCCGAGGCAGGTGGATCACAAGGTCAGGAGATCGAGACCATCCTGGCTAACATGGTGAAACCCCATCTCTACTAAAAATACAAAAAATTAGCTGGGCGTGGTGGTGGGAGCCTGTAGTCCCAGCTACTCGGGAGGCTGAGGCAGGAGAATGGCATGAACCTGGCTGGCAGAGCTTGCAGTGAGCTCAGATCGGGCCACTACACTCCAGCCTGGGCAACAGAGCGAGACTCTGTCTCAATAAATAAATAAATACATAAAATAAAAGTCTCTGGTTGGCCGAATTGGGGGCATTTTAAAAGGGATTGAAGAAAAGAAGGTGAGTGGTTGAGGGCAGCAGGCTACCTGGACAAGATTCCTGTCCACCACTTATTAGCTGTGTCTTAATGTATCTCTCTGTCTTAATTCCTTCATCTGTAAAAGGAGGAAATTATTGAAAAACAATAATATTATTGAAAAAATAATAATGTGTTGTTAAAAGAAGAACTTTAGACAAATGAAATTTAACAGAGCTTAACTGAGCAAGGGAAAAAAAGATTCACGAATCAGGCAGCTTCCAGAACCATTGCAGATTCAGAGAGACTCTAAGGATGCCTCATGGTCACAGCAAATCTATAAACAAAAAAAGGAAGGTGACATACAGAAAATGGAATTGAGATACAGAAACAGCCGGATTGGTTACAGCTTGGCATTTGCTTCGTTTGAAAGCAGTTTGAACAGTCAGCTAGCTGCCTATGAGTGGTTGAAGTATGACTGCTGGGATTGGCTGAGACTCAGCTATTGTTATAGAAGCATGCTCCTAAGTTAGGTTGTCAGTCTTGTCTACTTATTAAGTTAGGTTATGGTTCGTCCATAAGGACTCAAGTGTGGAAATACAGAGGCTTTCCAGGCCACATTTAGTTCAATTTAACAGTGTCTACCTGATGGGGTTGCTTGTTGTGAGATTAAATGATTCAGTATATCTAAAGCGCTTAGCATAGTTCAAGGTATGTAGCTATATATACAGGCTAGTTGTTAATGTTGTTATTATTATGAAAGGGCTCAAGGGGGAACTATTATATTTCTTACTTAAATAACCATGTGAACAATAGCCTGTGGCATGTGAAGGAGTATGGTATCCGGGCAGGGACAGAAAATTCCATGTGATTGGAGTGTCTGTACAAGTGTACATTGTGTGAACCTAAGTGTTGTGTGTGCATAAGAGTTCATGAGTGTGGCCTAATGGTGGAGACCAGGGGCTTGCACCTAGGAACCATGATGTTGGAAAGCTTGGTTGGGGCCATAAATGACATCTGGAGAGGTAGTATCTCACAGTGGATCCACAGCATCGAGTCTAGAACCAGAGGGCCTAGATGTGAATCCCAACTCTTCCAATTACTAGCTGAGTAGTTTCGGGAAGTTGCTCAGTCCTCTGGGCCTCATTTTCCTCATCTGTAAAATGCAGATACTCTTAGAGCAGGGGACCCCCACCCCCAGGCTGTGGACAGGTACTGGTCTGTGGCCTGTTGGGAACTGGGCTACACAGCAGGAGGTGAGTGGTGGGCGAGTGAGCATTACCGCCTGAGCTCTGCCTCCTGTCAGATTAGTGGTGGCATTAGATGCTCATAGGACTGTGAACCCCACTGTAAACTGCACATGTGAGGGCTCTCGGTTGCATGCTCCTTATGATAGCTGAACTGACGCCTGATGATCTGAGGTGGAACAGTTTGGTCTCAAAACCATCTTTCCACTCTGTCTGTGGAAAAATTGTCTTCCATAAAACTGGGTCCCTGGTGCCAAAAAGGTTGGGGACTGCTGTCTTAGAGCATCTCCCTCAACAGGCAGTGAGGAGGACATGAAGTAATATTTGTAAGGTGTTAAGAATTTTGCCTCACATGTAATAGGCTTGATTTATGTTAGTCATTATTATTAAAGGAATGTGTACCTTATGATATTGATATATACAAAATCTACAGCCATACTGAAGTTGGTGATAATATGATCAGATTTTTAAATTATGGATTATGAAACCATAAATAAATAAAAAAAAATAAACATAATAAACATTTTTCTAAACATTTTAGGAAAATGGCTATTTTCCTAAATATGAGGGGAAAAAAATGGCTTTAAAGACTGGGTCCTCATAGAGGTAAGATGGAATGTGCACCCATCATCTTAATAGAGTTTACTCAGTCTAAGATTTGAGTTCTCCAGTGTAGTCCATTGAGGCTGCTTAAATAGAGGTGCAGAACCCAGAGCAGGGAGGGGAAGCCCCATGTTAGTCTGTTGGCTCCTGCACATTTGGTGTCGGTTCATTCTGGGAAGTATGCTGAGAGAGGCAGAAATTACCTGGCTTTGTTCAGAGGAGGGCTCCTGAGATCGTGAGAAGGTTGGAAAACATTGCACAGGAAAATCAGTGAGTTGAACTAGGGATGTTTAACAAAGGAAAGGCTGGGGCCAGGAATATGATGATCGCCCCCACCCTAAGTGTAGGAAGAGCTGTGAAGTGAAAAAGGGAGTAGATGAGTTCTCCACAGTTTCAGGGGAAAGAAAATGAAACAATAGATGAAAACTACAGAGATAGGGATTTCAACTCAGTTTTAAAAGGCAACATTATAGCCAGTTTTCTCCAGCACTTTCAGTATCTTGAAGCTGTCCTCAACATTTTACTTATTTGTTCACCATCATATGCTAATGCCTAGAAGAGTGTCTGGCTCAAAGCAGTGGCTGAGTAGCTGTGTTAGACAAGGTTATCCAGAGAAACAGAACCAATCATTTATTTATATACATATGTATGTGTACATATATATGTGTGTGTGTGTGCATATGTGTATATATAATATAAACATCATATATAAGTATATATGACATAATATATATCATATATGTATGTTCTATATGTCATTTTTTATACATATATATTTACAGAGAGAGAGAGACATACACACAGACAGACAGAGAGAGAGAAAGAGAGGGTGGGGGAAGACTGTAGGGAATAGGTTCATACAATTGTGAGGGCTGACAAGTCCAAATTCTTCCGGGCAGGCTGGCAGGCTGGAGCCCAGGGAAAAGTTAATATTGCAGTCTAGAGTCTAAAGATAGTCTAAAGGCAGAATTCCTTATTCTTCAGGAAACTTCAGTCTTTTCTCTTCAAACCTTTAATTGATTGGATGAGGCCTATTCATATTATTTTGGTAATCTGCTTTACCCAAAGTCTACTAATTTAAACATTAATCACATTAAAAAAAAACCATTTACAGCACCATCTAGATGATGTTTAACCAAACATCTGGTACCACAGCTTCTCAAGTTGACACATAAAATCAACCCTCATGGTAACTAGAAATGCTTTAGGAATAAATGATTAGAGAGTTACCCAATACTGGAGATATTCATGTTAAGATGAGCTGAGATTTTTTTTACAATATAGTTTCAACCTTTATTTTAGATTCAGGGGGTACATGTGCAGGTTTTCTACCTGGATATATTGCATGACACTGAGGTTTGAGTTATGATTGATCTGGTCACCCAGGTCAAGTACTGCGCATAGTACTCAATAGTGATGGGCTGAGATATTTTAAATGCCATTCACGTATCTGACTGAATTAGATGAATTTTAAGGTTTCTCTAATTTTTGTACTTCATGAGTCTAGGAGTGGCATATATCACTAGAGAATTTTTAGAAGAGATGAAAATAATCCTCTATAAATAAATACAAGTATACTTATTATTTATTATTGCACATAAAATCCATCATAATTTGAATATGTTTGCTTTGGCTGAATGATTTTTTAATTTTCTATTGAGTGCATGCATATATATGTGCTACTGTAGACAAAATAGACAATAACCTCTGCCTTTTATATTATAGTAGAAGGGTGGGGAGAAACACAATAAACAATAACGAGGTAAATTATAGAGAATAGCAGATGACGATAAGGTACTATGGAGAAAAGTAAAGCAGGCAAGGAAATGGGAAACGCTGGGGTGAAGGTGAGGAAGGAGAGTGATATGTTTATAGCCAGATCTGGGAAGGCTACACTAAGGATGTAAAATGTGAATACAAAGTAAAAAGAAGTACCATAGCCAGGGTACATTTTGTGCATGTTTCGTAGCAGAAGAAACATTTCCAGCAGAGGAAATGGCAAGGGCAAAGGCCCCAAGGTAAGTTTACTATGCTTGATCAAGAATAACATGGAGTAACCAGACACAGAAAGACGAACTTTGCCTGTTCTGACTCATTTGTGTGAGCTAAAAATTACAAACTTTGAACTCATGGAGATAGAGGGTAGAATGATGGCTGCCAGAGGCTGGGAAGGGTAGTGACAGGTGAGGGGGAGGAATATAGTTAGATAAAATGAATAAGATCTAGTATTTGATAGCACAACAAGGTGACTACAGCCAATAATAATTCATTGTACATTTAAAAATAGCTAAGAGTATAATTAGAAGGTTTGTAACACAAATGATAAATGCTTGAGGTGATGGATACCCCATTTACCCTGATGTGTTTATTATGTATTATATGCCTGTCTCAGAATATCTCATGTACTCCATAAATATATATGCCTACTATGTACCCATAAAAATTAAAATTAAAAAAAAAAGAATAACATGGGGGCCAGTGTGGCTGAAGAGAGGACAGTAATAGATGTCAAAGCCAGAGGAGTCACAGGGGCTGGAGAGGTGGGCCTTATGGTGCCCTATGAGAATAAGGAGGCTTTTGATTTGCACTCAAGGAGAAATGGAAACCACTGGAGGGTCTTAGGCAGAGGGGGAGATGATCTGACTTCGATTTTTAAAGGACCGCTCTGTAAGTAATGTGGATAATATAGCTGGAAGCTATATATATTCTGGGCCTATCCAAGCAGCTACATAAGTTCTCAACTCCTAGTTTCTTACCAGGACCATCCTTCCATTTTATATGATGTTTTTCTGTTTGTTTTGTTTTGCTTTAAACAAGCTTCTTGAAGTATAATTGACATAAAATAAGATGCATGTATTTAAAATGTACAAACGGATAAGTTTTGACATGTGTATATACTCGTGAAACCCTCACTACATTTAAGATAGTGACATATCCACTACCCCCCATGGTTTTCTCATATGGTGTGTTTTTTATTTTACTAATTGCATCACCCAGTTGCTGTTTTAAAAGTAGGGTGGAGTGGGTGGTATGTGGAATAAAGGCAGTGGCCACGTATGTGTTCTCTATTACTGGCAAAAACCTGGTCACCATTCCACATTACTGTTATGGTGGGTTTCCTTCCTCTTTTGCTTACTGAAGAAATACCTAAAAGAGTATTTATAGGGCCAGTTTCAACTATCCCAAACATTTCATTGCACTTTGAAAGGTGTGGCCTACAGTTCTGAGCAGAAAGGGAGAACAACCCATGTTTCATGTGGCAAATATTGCTTGCCAAGATTGTGTGATGGACATACATCTAGCCTTTTGCAGCTATTTTGGTCCTTTTATAAGGAAAGTTAAACCTATTTGGTTTGGAATTGCCTACATTACTGACAGACAAATATAAGCCAATTAAATTGGATAAAAAAATGTGGCAGAAGGAGGAATTTTTCCCCCTGCAGAATAAAGACATTCTAACTTCTGCATCATTATGCTTGGCAGTAATTTCCCCCTTGAAGCTAATTAAGAAATGTGGGTGGGTTCTTTTTAACTTCCTTAATTTTACCTTTGATTATCCTCTTACTTCACCCCCTCCCATCTCTGAGGAGCAATAAATTTTCTTACTAGGTGAGGGGAAATTCCTAAATAATTTAATAACACACCTTGCCAATATTATCCATAGTATCTTGGAATTTCCTTCCATCCAATGTGCTACCTCTCCAGGTTCATTCTCACTTCCAGCCAGATGATGTCTTCTTTATTATCTGCACCAACTCCTCAAGTATCTTATGGATTTTATTATTACCCAGATAGCTAAACAAGATTCATTTTCTCAAGTCCAGATCCATCCACCTATCCATATATTCATTTGTAAATTTTTTGTTCAATTATTATTTAGTGACTCTTTACTGTATTAGTAAGTATACCATATCAGGGAAGAGAGAATGTTAGCAATATGAATACTTTTCAAATCTATGCAGTATATATTTGTCTGTTAAGGTATTCTTTGTATAACAAGTTTGAACTTGGAGGAACGTAATAGGAAGGCAGTCTTGACATAGACCAAGCTACCTTTTCTTATCATGACTTAAAAATAATGTGATATGTTGATTTCTGCTTGTTTCATTCCTTGATTGGGAACTCACAAATCGGAGAAGAAGGTAGTGGGAATGGGTGATAAAGTGGGAATGGTTAATGGGTACACACAGTTAGATAGACTGAATAAGACCTAGTATTCAATAGCACAGTAGGGCAATTCTAGTTAAAAATAAAATATTATATATTTTTAAATAACTAAAAGAGTAAAATTAGAGTGTTCCTAATACAAAAAAGGAAAAATTCTTGAGATGATGGATACCCCAATTACCCTAATTTGATCATTATACATTGTATACCTGTATCAAAACATCATATGTACCTCATAAATATATAACTATTATATAACTATAACTATTGCACCCTCACAGTAATTAAAATTTTTTTAAATTTAAAAATACTTACAAAAAAGAAATGAGGGAAGAAGAAAGCCATATTAAACATTAACTAAAATGTGATTTATAAAATGGGCATAATAGTAATGCTACTGATGGCAGCAGCAGCCTATATAAAGAGGCTGCTGCCATGATACTGGCTGCAGTTGGGGGAGGCATGGCCAGGGCTGCATGCTGCATGGAGCCGGTGGGAGTCAGAAACAGGTGGAAGCACCACTCACTTCTGAATTGGAAGGGAGGGAGCCTTGTGCTCCCTAGGTACAGCTGCAGATGCCCAGCCATGGCTGCAGACCTGGGCATCCCTGTACTCTTGCGGGCCAGAAGCAGACAGGAGCCCCACATGTCCGGGTGCAGGCTAAGGAGTACCTGCTCTCCCACAGGCTCAGGAGTGCCTGCTCCTGTTCTCTGGCCACTCCCCGCTCCCAGTACCCACTCTGATCTTGGAGCGAAGTTGAGGCTGAGCCTGGGTGCTGTCGCAACTCAGTTGAATGTGTACAAGCTCAGGGCAGCACTGACATGTCAGGTCCCTGCCGCCTAGGCCCCCCTCCAGACTTTGGGTGCCAATGAGCATGGGAGGGAAGCAGGGGGGAGGGTGCCTGAGGATAGCTTGGCACTGGCCTCCAGGTGCCCCTGGGCACAAACAGCCTGAGCACCATGAACAGTGGTAGGAGGCAGACAGGCTCCTGGGTGGAAAAAGGTAGGTTCCCAGTGAAGCCCCGCCTTCAAGCCCAGGAAGGCCTGAAGCCTAGGGGCAGGGCTGCCAGTCCTGCAGACATGAGGGAGAACTTATGGTGCTTTTTCCCCAGCCCACCCATGGCCACCCATGGACCAATCAGCACACACTTCCTCCCTTCTGAAGCCCATAGAAACTCTGGACTCAGCCAGATTTGAGAAGACACTGGGGGTGGCCAGCTGCAGAGAAGAGCTACCCACTCCAGGGTCTCCTCTTAGCTGAGAGCTGGGCAGACATTGGAATGACAAGCTGCAGTCAGGACACCCTGCCTTTGGAGAGGAGCTATCCACTGCAGGTCTCTTCTGAGCTATTCTGTCATACTATAAAGCTCCTTTTCACCTTGCTCACTCTTTACTTGTTCATGTACCTCATTCTTCCTGGGTGCAGGACAAGAACTCGGGACCCACCGAATGGCAGTGCTAAAAGAGCTGTAACACAAATACGGCTTGAAATATGCCCCTTGCTCACCACATTGTGGGTGACGAGAAGGAGAGAAGAGAGGAGGAGAGAAGAACTGTGGCCCTTTGGAGAGCCCAAACCTAGGAGCTCCCTGAGCTAGGGCTGTGATGCCCTCTCTGGGGCTCTGTGGTTCCTGGAGTCACCAAGCTTCCAGGCGCCATCATGTTCCCTGGTGCTAGCCACGGAAGCAACTATTTGCAGTATGTCTGGTCCAGCCACAGCCTCAAAGGGAGCCATTGGCTGTACCGGTGCCTGGAGTTGCCTGGCCCACTGCAGCCAGTATGCCTGGCTGTGTGTGATGGCTGGACCCCATGCTCTTTCGCTCACACACCCCTCACTGCTCCACTTGCCCTTGGCAGGCATGGGATCCAGGCCGGTAGCACAAGCCGAGCACAGCCTTCCATGCAGTGTGGGCCCAGTGGGCCCCAGCAAAACTCGGGTGAAGGCACCACTGGCCACAGAGGTTTCTGGCTGGTGAAGTGACATCCCAAGATTCCGTAACCCTACTTTGCAGAATGCTGTGAGATTTAAATGCATTAATACATGAAAAATGCAGAGGAGCCCTAGCTTAATAGACATGAAATATTAGAATTGTTATTGTACCACATTTTCCTTCTAGTTTAACTATTTTGTTGTAGGTAGAGAATCCTTGTCAGAATTTATGGACTCCAGTCATTTCACTGCTTACAAATGATTTAGAGTGAGATGTAAATCCCAGAGTAACCCGTGTCCTTCCCTCTCACCAGCTGACCATATTTCAATCCTAGGAGCTGGGACCACTTTACCATCATTTATCTAAGCAATGTAACAAATTTTATGACTGGAACACTGGTGCCCATTACAGTCAACAGATTTTTTTTCCTAGTTCTATGCTATGTTTTATATTCACATTAAAGTATAAATATTTTCTGTCCATACATTGTGTTTAGACCATCAAATAAAATTTTCTTCCCAAAATCATCACTTCATTGAGCTACATACACTTTTCCCTTGATTTTGTTGATGCTGTTGAAGGTAATTTACACATTATTTCGTTCTGTGTTATAAGGAATAATGAAGTAACTGAGACCTTCTGAGAATCAATGGTAAATTAATTTGGCTCTGCCTGTCTCACTGAAGGCCAGAATTGTTGTGGTATGTCTGTCAGTTTTCATCTAGATGTCTGAGAGCAAGTGTGGGCTTGAGAGCTTATTTGTATCGACTAGTATTTCACCGCACTAGATTTTATGTACTATACTGTGCTTTAGCACCAATAATGCTTTGTTTTTCAAAAGCAAATATCCAGTATTGCTTAAAGACATCCATTTTAATACTATATTCTCAATATGTGAACTGATTGAAAATCTATCATTGAGCATATCCAGTTATATATATTTTTGGATGACTGATATGTCCATAAAATGTGCTACAAAGAGACATAAAACATAGTCCTGAACTTGGGTGTCATAAAAATCTAGTGAGAGAGAAAAAAATAGAAATATGTTGAAGATATACATTTAGCACAGAGTAGGAATGTATTTAGTTGTTGAGAGATATCAAGCAAGGCTTCACAGATAATTCTGATATAACAGTTTTGAAGAATGAAGTTTATCAAACAGGGTAAAAAAATACCATATTTGTCTTAGTTCATTTTCTGCTGCTATAACAGAATACCACTATATTTATATATAGTTTATAATACCACTATATATATATATATATAGTTTATTTGGCTCATGATTCTGGAGGCTGGGTTCAAGAGCATGGGACCGACAGCAGCTCAGCATTTGGTGAAGGCCTTCTTGCTGCTTCATAACATTGTGGAAGGGCAACAGAGTGCACGTAAGAAGAGCAAGAGAGGAATACGGGGCAGAACTCTTGCAATAACTAACTCACTTTTTTTGGTAATGGCATTAATCCATTCATGAGGGTGGAGTCCCATAATCTAATCACCTCTTTAAGGTCCTGCTTCTCAACACTGTTACAGTGGCAATTAAGTTTCAACATGAGTTTTGGCAGGACATTGAAACCATAGAAATATTCAAAAGTATTAAATTATACAATAATATTCTGTTTATGAAAATTAAAGACTTTTCACTCATTTATGAAAACTTTCTCACTAACCATAAATACAAATATGTATATTTAAAAGATCAACATGGAAATATAGATATTTTCCATCTACCTTGTACTGGTTAACTTGCTGAATAAAATATTACCCCAAAACTCAGTGGCTTAAAACAACAGCCTTTTATTATTGCTTGTGTTTCTACAAGTCCACTGGAGGTCTGCTGACAACTAATCTAGGTGGACTCTGAGGGCAGCTCTGCTCCATGTGTCTCTCATTCTCCTCCTGTGACTAGTGGTTTGCTTGAGCAGGTCCTTCTCATGGTGATTGCAGATGTATAGCTGGAAACACTGGAGGCTTCTTAAGACCTAGCACAGTATACCTGAGCACAGGTATACTGACATTTCCATCATCTTTCATTGTTCCAAAAAAGTTACATGGTCAAGTATCAAGTCAAGGGGCAGGGAAGTATATTCCATCCATCATGAGGCCATGGCAAAGATATATATGGTGGCACAGGTGAAAAATCAAGGCTATTAACAGAATTTACTTCATACCTGTGGCAAGAATCTGCAGTAGCTTACAACAAAAAGCATAGAGAGGGTCTATCACTAAAAAGTTGGTCTAAAAGCGACAATTTACAATACCACACCAGGCCAAAGGAAACTGTTGTCATCAGGCATGGTTATGACTTCTGACATTCCTGATAATCAAGGCAAAAGGGAAAGGAAAATAAGATGTCTGAGAAAAGGAAGAGTAACAATTTGTGATGAAAATTAAATAGACACATATATATCTAACTCACAATATATTTACTCTAGATGTATACATTCACATACATTTCACATAGTTAGAAAACGGACTGTTAGCATATTACAAGATAAATTCTTAATCTAATAATCTCATACATGCCCATCATTCATGCTCTATCTCTCTTTCAAATATTGTTCTTACTTTTTACAAAAAAAAAAATTTGAGATCTGAGAATTTTTCCCCTTTTACTCAGAGGTATCTCTGTGTGTAGGGTCATTTAATGATAAGGAACAGACCATCCCTTTTACCTCTGAAGAGTACCCTGTTTTTCAGCCAAGAGAGACCAGACAAAGATAACCAGGCAGATTTTTTTTCACCCCTAGTGTCTGACTGGATGACAAAGAAGTCTGGTGCTTTAGCCAAGTTGTCTGCCAACAATTCCTTTTCTTCACTTGCTATTAGTTGCCTGGTCACAAGAAAAAAAGCAAAACAAAACAGTCTTTATCAACTTATGGACATCTTACTTTCCCACTTAATAAATATTTGGGTCTATCTGTTGCCTCACATCCCGTGTGAGTTGGTATGAGAACCGGTCTGACTATTTTGTATAGAAACAAACACTTAGACATGTGCCTTTGGGCAAATATCTGCAACACTGGTAATACTTTGCATATGTATACTTTTTTCAGTTTCTCAAACAAGTGGCAACATGGTGAGATTGAAAGGTTTGGGTCTGTAACAGCCTCCAATTTTATCCTATTTACTTACTCTGTGTGAAACAGAAACATCAGTTAATATATTAGAATTTCAATTTTTTCATTGGTAAAAGTGATGACAATTATAACTACTTTTAAGTATGGTTAAAAGGATTAACACTGCGAGAGAGAGAGAGAGTGTGTGTGTGTTTGGCAGGGTGGTAGCACATGTTAAGTATTATTCAACAGATGTTAGACTCCTTTCCTGTATGAAGTCAGGACGACTATCCTTATTCATTAATTAAACACAAGCTAAGAACCTGTGCCATATCAAAAAGAGTAAATCAAACAAATAAGAAAACTGAACTATAAAATTAGAAGTGAGTTTCCGGGGGTCACACAAAAGAAAGACTTTAAGGCTAGAAACCATATTTCCTGGTTCTCAATCCATTGTCTATTCTATTGCTATACTTTTTATTCATTTATTTATTCATTCATTCAATCAATCATCCGTTCCTCCCTTAATCATTTGCACTCATTCTATTCAAGGGCTTCTTATATAGCTGTATAGGTTGTACATGT